>NC_000018.10:13010499-13310549 GCF_000001405.40 Homo sapiens | reverse complement strand
TGCTCTGGCTTTCCTGGTTCTTCCACACCCATGCTGCTGGCCTCTCTGATTAGATTATACCGCAAAACCTCTAGGGCAAGGACTGTCTTTTTTCCTTTTCAACCACAACGTCTATCACCATGCTACACATGGTCCTAATTCTATCCAACTGCATGTCCTTGCAGGCCCACCAATATCTCCCTTTTTTTTTTTTAAGAGACAGAGTCTCACTCTGTCACCCAGGCTGGAGGAGGGCAGTGGTGCCATGATCATAGCTCACTTCAGCATCGACCTCCTGCCTCAAGTGATCCTCCCACCTCAGCCTCCTAAGTGTCTAGGACAACAGGTGTACACCACCACACCCGGCTAATTTTTTTTTTTTTTTTTGGTAGAGACAGGGGTCTCACTATGTTGCGCAGGCTGACCTCAAGCTCCTAGCCTCAAGCAATCCGATCCCCCAACCTCAGCCTCCCAACATGCTGGGATTCCTGGCGTGAGACACCATGCCGAGGTTCAATGTCTCCTCTGAAAGGAAAGAAGTGGACAAAGCCATTCTGCAGATTCCCAACACTGTCACCGAGGCTGCCCGCACAGCTCTATTATCTGTCCTGAAGCATTGTTAAGAGACTGCGCTATCGTTCCATTGACAGTTTGAAGTTCAGTGACAGAATTATCTGGAGAGGGCAGACCCTGTGGGATGAAGGCCACACAGCTTCAGTCACAAAAGAAGGGCTATGTGCACCCATCACCAAGACACCCAGTGTCTGTGAGTCTTTGGTACAGTCACTGAAGGCCCTCTCTCCCACCTTTCCTTCACCCCTCACTGTCCCTCAGACCCCACTCTCATGCACACCTCCCGAGCCACAGGAAATACTCCACAAAGACACATCACATCTAAGATCTTATTTTAAGTGATCAAGGTCTAGGCAAACAGTTTTATGACTGACTCTAACTTGTTTTTAAGAGAAGGTTATTTCCTTTATGGCCTTCAACATGTTTAATACTGATTATTAAGAGTGCTAGAGTGCCCACAGGAGAAGGGGGGCTCCCCTCCTCACATACCAACCCCTAAGTCCTCAGTAAACTCACACAGACAAAAACAATTCTGTAAGTAATAAACGTAACAGGCTTGGCACATCTAATAATTACTTGGAAGAGAAATTGGGACTGGAATGCACAGAAAACAACCTATTTGGGATTTGCTTTTCACCGGCGAAGTCATCATCATCCGGCTCATGAATTCCCAAGGCCACTTGATGGGCGTTCATTACCAGTACGCGAAGCCACTCTAGAATGGCACTCTAAGAACCGTACCCCAGCTCCCAGCAAAGCCAGAGGTCTTCCCTGTGACTGCCCACAATCCACGCCATGGTGTGCAGGGCAAGTGGGGCCGGGTCGCTCACAGGCCTCTGCACCAAGGACAAGCCTCTAACTTAAAGTCTAATCTGCCTCTGCTGAGAACATGCCTTAGTTTTTCATCTTTGGTGATAATTACAATCTCCTTCCAGCTATGGGCAATGGAAAAATGTAGTAAGAATATCTTACTATTTTAAATAAAGTCAAGAAGACAGGACCAAAGCAAAGTATATGAAACCAAAAGCAAACATAACTTTTGGCTACAGTGGTTCTATAGCCACTGTGTCTCAAAATCCAGAAGCCACAAAAGAAAATATTCACACCTATGACCACATAAACATCAAAACTCCAGCCTGGCAAAAATCAAAGTGAAAAGACAAATGCAAAAACAAATTTAAAAGACAAATAACAAAAACTTGGAAACAGTATCTGCATGCGTTATCACGCATTAGGGAAGTCTGCTTCCCTAATACATAAAGCACTCCTAGCAATCCAAGAGAGAAAGTTCAACAACCACAAACACACATGGCTCTGATGTGAAACACGCGCAGCCTCCCTTCCAGTAAAAGAAATGCAAATTCAAACTATGTTTAGATACCATTTCTCACCTTTCCAAAACTGTGGTGACCCAGTCTACCAGTGAGGATGTGGTCGAACAGGCACCTTCGCCCACCTTTCACACAATCGCGCCTCAGAGTACACCAGCACAGGCCCCAGGAAGGGCGACTTGGTGATGTCAACCAAAGCCACAAATGCACACGCTCTGGCCTTGGCACATCCAATTGCAGAAATTCATCCTAAAGGTACACGTGCATGTTTGAGAATTGAAATTAAGAGAAATAAAATATATTATTCATTGTACTTTGTCTATAATAGCAAAATTTGGAATTAAGTCAAAGGTTCATCAATAGAGGACTGGTTATGTAAACTGGCATGTCTATTAAATGGGACACCAGATGGCTGTAAACAAAGGCAGAGGAGAGGTGTGGGGCGGCGGGTGGGACAAGAAAAAAGGGAAGCTTTCTGTGTGCGGACGTGGAAGGATCTGTAAGGCACATTGAGTGTCGAAAGCATGGTACAGGAAAATGGGCTTGATGAAGGGTGGAGGTGGCTAATTTGTTTTTAAAGTTGTTTATAAATGCATACAGAAATTCTAGAAGGATATATAAGAAACACGACTGCAGAGACAAGGCAGGGACAGAGTGGACAGCAGCAGGCATGAATGAATGCCTTTGATAATTGATTTTATTTCTGAACCATCTGATAGTTGCCCTTAAATAGAGGTTAGGGATGCCAGCCCGCTCCACGGTCAAAAATCCAAGTATAGCTTTTGACTCCCAAAAATGTAACTACTAATGGCCTATTGTTGACCATTACGGATAATATAAACTGCCAATTAACACACATTTTCAATGTTATATGTATTATGCATATACTTACAGTATTCTTATAATACAGTATACTACAGAAAAGAAAATGTTATTTAAAAAATTAGGGGCCAGGCATGGCAGCTCATGCCTGTAATCCCAACACTTTGGGAGGCTGAAGGGGGAGGATCACTTGAGGCCAGGAGTTTGAGACCAGCTTGGGCAACATAGTGAGACCCCCTTCTCCTCAAAATAAATGTAAAAATTAGTCAGGAGTGGTGACATGCCCTGTGGTCCCAGCTACCTGGGAGGTTGAGGTGGGAGGATCACTTGAACCTGACAGGTCAAGGCTGCAGGGTGCCAAGATGGCACCACTGCACTCAGCCTGGGCAACACTGCAAGACCCTGTCTCTTAAAAAATTTTTTTTTAATTAAAAAAAGAAAATCATAAGAAAGAGAAAATATATTTAGTATTCAGTAAGTGGAAGTGAACCATCATAAAGTTCTTCATTCTCGTTATCTTCACATTGAGTACGCTGAGGGGAGGAGGGAGAGTCAGGGTTGGCCATGCTGTCTCAGGCGGGGCAGAGACAGAAGCGATGAAGGAGGTGGGAACCGGGACAGGAAAGGCACGCACACTTGGTGTAACTTCACAAAACACACTGCAATTTCCATCTGCCTTTTTTGCTTTTTCATTTATCTAAGTGTTTCTAAACAGCACCAATTCTTCTTCCCCTGTTTGTTTAGTTTCAGTGCCCACTTCATAGACGGATTCATGTCATAAAAGAAGTCAAAAGCAGTCTGAATAACTGGAACCCTTCTGCCAGACTGTCTAATGTCAATTTATTTTCTGGCACTGCTTCTTCTATGTTTTTTTCCCATCACCTGGCCCTGGTTTGGAAGTACTTATCTCCATTAAGTCGTCCTGTGTTAATTCCTCTGGTGTGGTGTCTACTAGCTCTTGAATTTCTCCAAGATCCATATCTTGAAATCCTTCCTTCCCCCTCTCCCCTGGCGCACCTTTTTATTTTTTTTGCCATAGCCACAGTCTCTTTCATGATTTCCTTGGTTGGCTCTGTTGCAAATCCCATGAAGTCATGCACAACATCTGGACAGAGTTTTCTGCAGCAGGAATTTATTGTTTCGGGTTTGATAGCTCTCACAGTTTTTTCTGTTACAACAGTGGCACCTTCAATGGTGAAATCCTTTCAGATTTTCCTGACCTTCTCTCTATCAGGGTTCTCCTTCACAGCGTTATTATCCTTTCCATAGAACGCCGTGTGTAATGAGCCTTAAAGGTCCTTTTGAGACCCTGATCTAGAGGCTGATATGAGATGTCTTATTTGAGGGCAAATAGACCATTTCAGTCTTCAGCCTTCAGTGTTGAACTCATGGGGTTCTGGGTGGCCAGGGGCACTGTCCAGTATTGAAAGAAGTTTAAAAGGCAGTCTCTTACTGGCAACGTACTTCCTGACTTCAGGGACAAAACACTGATGGAACTAATCCAGGAAAAGAGTTCTCACTGTCCAGGCCTTCTTGTTCTACAATCAAAAGACTGGCAGCTGGTGTTCACCTTTTTCCTTCAAGGCTCAGGGGCCGTCCTGTTCATAAACCCAACTGCATTTGCACAAAATGATAAGAGTTAGCCTATCCATGCTGCTTCTCTTCCTTACTAATAAATGTCCTTTGTAGCTTTTTTTTCCAGAATAGACCACTTTCATCTGCATTTATAAACCTATAGAGGCAGATATTCTTTCTCCTCAATGATTTTCTTAATGGTATCTGGGAACTCAACTGCTGCTTCTCCTATTATCTTGACTTTTTTTTAAGCCAAATCTCTTTCTAAAATTATCAAACCATCCCTTGCTGGCACTGAATTCTCCATCTTTAGATCCTTTGCATTTCTTTTGCTTTGTCATATAACGACTTTGCTTTTTCTCAAATCTTATTAGAGTCTATAGGTGAGCTTTCTAATAGCCATCCTTCTACCATATAAAAGCTGCATTTTCAATACAAGATACAAAGGTATTTTGCAAAAAGTGCAAAGTTTTTGTGCCTGTTGGCATATAGCTGCAGTGACGGCTTCACAAATTTCCTTTTCTTTTTTCCAGTGGTTCTTATGCTGGTTTCATTTATCTTGAAATGGCAAAAGGTAACCACAGCTGCCAACCTCAATCTACAGCACAAATCGAGCAATTCAACTTCTTCTTGCAATGTCATGACTTTTCTCTGCTTCTTGGGAGCACTTCCAGCATCACTAGGGGTACTTCCTATGGGTTTGGGTCCCATGTTGCTCTTCGAGGCTTATGGTATTGCAGGAAATACAGTGAAAATATGCAAGAACCTCAAGAGATTCCTTTTCACTGTGACATGAAATTTACTGTTGAGAAGAACTGCTCATGCGGAGATGATAAGGATCACATAGTGTCTTAAGTGGATACTGAAAAAACTTGAGCTGACCACAATAGCAACCAGATGTGGCTACAAAATTATTACAGTAGTATAGCAATGGACTACAGTTAATTTTATGCAGTTATGATTTAATACTACATCTTTGTGTTTGCGTTACATTTCTCGACTGCAAATGGTACCATGTATATATGTAAGTGTGTGCATAAGTTTTGATAAGATTTAACTTTTTATAACAGGTACGCATATATTTTACAGTAATAAAAATGACAAAATAGACTAGTATCTACATATATTTTATGCATTCATGACATGCCTAACTTTGTCTTAATTTTTTTCAATATTTCTAGGCTACGAGATTCATATGCAAGTTTATTCAAATATTTGAAAATCTCCAAAAATTTCCAATATATTTATTGAAAAAAATCTGTATACAAGTAGGCCCACACAGTTTCAACCCATGTTGTACAAGAGTCAACTAAGTTTTTCAGTTTTTCAACTGTGAAATGATAAACACGCCCTCCGTCAGCAGGCTGACGCATGCAGGCTGAGTCTGCCTTCCTCACACTCCTTCCGTCTGCTGTGTCATCTTCCCTGTCCCCATCCCTAGGGATCCCTCCTACACCCCCACAGCAGGACCAGGTTTAGCAGTCTCCCATCTTCAGGTCTGTGTCCATGACAAGGAGTTTCATAAAATGGAAATTATTCTTGAATATCATAATTTGAAACCAAAACAAATGGGGCCCATTGCCCAAACCTGCAGCAGGTTAAACTCAAAAGGGCTGATGTTGCCATGACAAGGATTGAAGCGTGTGTCGGTGTATACAGGGCAGTGGCTGCCTGGCCTCATTCCTCAGGGGAGTCTGAAAGAACCACCTTCCCAGCCCTCCCCAGCAGCTTCCAGGTGGCCTGCCCCACAGCCTGTGCTGCGACAGCATGCTGGGGACTCCCTGAAGTCATCCCTGCTGCACGAGACCATTCTGACCAAGCCAGGCCCAACACAGAGATACAGACCTGACACTAGCACCAAGAGGGCCATCTCCCATCTCTGCACTCTTCAACATGTGAGTACCAACCAACTGTGAGCTCAGGAAATCTTCTTTGAAAAACTAACTCCTCCTCCTCCCCTTCCCCACGCTGCCCACACCATACAGTCACAACATTCTACAGAGGAACCACCTTTCAGCCAGAGATGCTGAGAGGTGGAGACCTCTAGGAATATCTAAGGTCCAACTCCTGTGCAACATCCACCAAGATGAGCCCTGAGTGTGGAAGCCGGGAAGCCGCCCAGGTCCTGGCCTGGGAGCCTGTGCACTGGAGTCCAGGACTGCAGCAGCAGGGCTGCCTCCCGGGGGGACCAGACCCCAGGACCCTGGATCCACCCCTGGCGGTGCAGGACTCTACTCAAATCCTTCCAGGTGCTTGCTTTGCCTGAAAAATTCCAGAAATGACTTCCTGGTGACAACTGCACTGTCTACCAACACTTCAGGCCATAGTTTGCAGATGACTCGTGGGCCTTTGTACAACTGAAGCTCATTCCTTCTTTTCATCACATCTTATGGAGCAGCTAGGATCTCCTTAGCCCTCTTACTAGGAGAACCTGGTGCTTATCTAGCTAATGCCTTCAACAAGAGGTCCCCAGAAAGATGCATGGGCTTCCCATTCCTAAGAGGGTTCTGTTCTATTTTGGGGGTTTTTCATCTTCCTTTCTCTTTTTCTTGGGGAGTGAGGAGGAGGGGGATTCATTTAAAAGATTTAGCTCATGTAGAAAATAACTCCCTTTTTCTTTCATCAAAAGGAAAGTCTCGGACAGGAGCAGTAGCTCGCACCTGTAATCCTAGGGCTTTGGGAGGCCAAGGCAAAAGGACTGCTTGAGCCCAGGAGTTTGAGACCAGCCCAGGCAACATAACGAGAGCCCCTCTCTACAAGAAAGGAAAGAAGGAAGGAGAAAAGGAGAGAAGGAGGGCAGGGAAGGAAACGGGGAGAGAGAGAGAAAGAGCGAGAGAAAGGAAGAAAGACAAAAAAAACTAGCTGGCATGGTGGCATGCACCTGTAGTCCTAGCTACTCAGGAGGCTGAGGAGGAAAGATTGCTGGAACCCAGGAGCTGAGGCTGCAGTGAGCTATGATCGTACCACTGCACTTCAGCCTGGGCATCAGAGTGAGACCCTGCCTCTAGGGAAAAAAAATTGTCTTCAGAAGACAAAGTTAACCTATTTCCCCCTCAACGGATCTGACGAGACATCTGGGCCGGGGTCTAGGCACCACATGGCTGCTGTCCAGCATGTGCCCTGCAGGGGTGCACTCCTGCCCTCCGGTGCCTTCCCTGTGGGCAGCTCTGAGGTCAGCTGAGTGCCCAGGGCAGACAGCCCCAGGCCACTGGAGAAGTCTAAAGAATCTGTCTATTCATTAAAGCCTACCCCCAATAAATCTTTCTAAAAAGCAGGAACCAAAAGCTTTCCTCTTGGACCATGGCCAAGTTCTCATTTTACAGTCAGCAGCAGGTCGGGCTCCAAATCTGCATATAACAGTAACTGCATGTAACATAACTGCACTGCATGTAACATAACTGCACGTAACATAACTCCATATAACAAAACTGCATAAACATGACTGCATGTAACACAACTGCATGTAACATAACAGCATGTAACAGTAACTGCATGTACCATAACTGCATAAACATAACAACTGCATGTACCATAACTGCGTGTAACAGCAGTGCATGTTTTCCTCCTTTCCCTCTGTAGTTGCAGAGCTAGCAAGGCGTTCTGGCCTCCAGGAACCTTCTCACCAGGGCATACATTCCCCTTCCACTTGGGGCAGAATAAATTTCATGCAGGACACTCATCTGCATTTGGCCTCCATGCACATCAGTAAGTATTTAACTGAAAATGTAAAAGGTCTCTGAGGCTGAAACAGCAAAGCCCTGTGAGTTTCCTTTAACCTATCCCCAAATCTGTCCCCCTCAAGTATCCCATTCCCCAGGTAGTGCCAGTGCTTCTTGAAGCAGTTGCTTTTAACAGTTTTCTCTGAAGTGAAATACCATCGCAGCAAGCTGTTACTCCCCTGCACAGAGCTGCTGAAAACTAATCATCGAGCTTCAAACGCCAGGTTTGGCAAACTCTGGCTACAGAAAACCACTAATCTTGTGATGGCATTTTAGAGGTCTCCACTGAATCACATTTCCAAATGAAATAAACCCAGTCTCCCAAACTGGGCTGCGTTGGAAACAAGGAAACAAACAGCCGGCGACAGCAGTGAATTACAAGTGGCATGCTAATTACCAGTCCACATCCAGAAATAGCTGAAGACTGCAGGGTCTGTGTTGTTGTTGTTGTTAAAATAACTACAGCCTTTATCCCAGGGTTGGGCAAAGCATCTGATTTATTCAAATGCTTCAGCTTCTAAACATCATCACATTTATATGTACGTATCTGGGAGGGGGAGAGAGTGGAGGGAAACTGAGGGTTGGGGCAGGGTAAGACAGCACTTGGTAGGCGGTCAGGAGAGGGCTGCCCAGCGGGGCTGGTCCCTCCCCTGCCATCAAACCCATAAAACCTCCCAGGAGCTCTCCTGCCTGTCTGCCCAATGACGCCCACCTCAGACCCTGCAGAGAAAGGAAGGGGACAGAGGACGCCTGGTCCCTATGGTTTCTTTAGGCCATCCATCACTTACTCCACAGGAGGTGCACGATGGGCAATGGGGCCTAGTGAGGGTCACAAAATTCACACAGAAAGAATCTTGCTTCAAGAAACTTACAATCCATTAAGGAGAGGGACAGGAAAGAGTGCATGAGCATGACAGAAACGTGGTCGTTTTGTGCCACCACCCTTGGCTCCTGGGGACAAGGTGAGCTTCCGTCTCTGCACGTGCAAGTTCAGCTGAAGAGATGAGGCCACCCCTACGGTTCCTGCTGGCACTGTGGGTGCAGACGTGACCCACAGGACTTAATTTTAGAATGCAGAGCCAGAGCTCTGTTAAGAGAATCTTCCCCACCCCCCTCGCCCCAAGCCCCAGCCTTCTGTCACCCTATCACCCTCTAAATATGCAACAGCACCCTCTACTCCACTCTCAAGTTCGAGAATGGTCCAGCGGGAAGTCTCCTTCAAGCTCATCTGGTCCAGCACAGGTTACTCTGCGCTGACTGGAGTTGTGGGGAAAGAGTGTTCTGGGTTCGCATACATTTAGGACATTCTGGGTTAAATAACACTGAGGTTTTCTGTACAGAAGGACCACTGGCGTCTCCAGCACGCTAAAGGTACACTGAGGCTCTCCAAGATAGGACCGAGTAGGCAGCATCCCTAAACTCACTGGCTGGAAATGCTTCCCACTCCCAACACCTGTACCCCCCCAACCACGGACACCCCGGCCAGTTCGGCCTCCTTCCCCTTCAGCTGCAGGGCACACACGAGCCCCACTCCAGCGGCCGCTGAGGGCATAGTGCGGAGACACACATGCTCCTCAGGGCGCTCACAGCGGGGACTCGGGCACTGGAAGATCAGCCCTCACAGCCAAGCAGCCAGGTGCCACGGGTTCAGCGCTGGGACGCGCTGCCGGCTCCCAGTTCACCACCCTTCCTTCCTTCCCACACCCCATCTCTGATCATGAGAGGTGTCTGTTCAGCCTCAGAAATGCAAGACCAGATGGAGGCCTCCAGAGAGAAATCCTCAGCAGCCTAGACCCCTCACTGAAATACAACCCAATGCATTCCCTCTGCCCACTCTGACACTTCTTAGTGTGAACGCCACCAAGAAATTCTTGGGTGCAGGGGCTGATCATATAAAGATGAACTAAAGATGCCAAATTCCTTCATCCTGCTGTCACTCATCTCACAGCCAATTCTCACACACCCACCCCGAAATAAGCCAGGAGAAGGAGAGGGTTCCGGGTATCTCTACCGGGACAGGCCCAGGAGGAAGAGTGAGGACAATGGGGCTCCATGCTGGCACCGGGTGCCTTATTGCAGGCCTCCCTTGGGGCAGCAGTCATGGCTGACCCCGCGAATGTCATGTCCTTGGGAAAAAAGGCCATCAGAACAGAACCTGCCCTCTAGTTCCCAGGCCCTGCAGAGGGCTCCAGCCCTCACCACTGCCATCTGTTCTGCCTGGTGAGGTGGCCTTGTGGCTGAGGCAGAGCACAGGCGCGGGGTGGGCAGGAGAGTGGGAAGAGGCTGCCGGCCCCCTCTGCGGGCCTGGCTCTCTGCTGTGCCTGGACAGACTCCAACTGTAAGGAGGCACCTGCTGGCCCTGGAACCACGGCTCTCCAGAGACAAGCAGGAACCGGAAGCCAGGCTGGGGCATGGAATTTGCAGGAACCAAGATGTGTGAAGCATGGGGCAGAGCCACATGGGCTGTGACCAGCTGTTCCCAAATCAAACACATTGTCTCTGTGTTCACACAAAGCCAGCAACTGAGCCATGAGAGGCTGATGTGTGCAGGCACCAGGGGAACACAGGTGGGCTGCCTTCAGTGTGGGGAAAAATATCCTCCAGACATGAGGACCCTAAAACACCCACCACCACCAATGCAGACGTCACCACCAGCAGCCATGTAGAAGTCACAAATCTGCTTCCTGAAATTTACCTTTTTTTTTTAAGAGACAGGGTCTTGCTCTATCGCCCAGGCTGGAGGGTAAGTGGCATGATCATAGCTCACTGCAGCCTCAACCTCCCAGGCTCAAGTGGTCCTCCTGCTTCAGCCTCCTGAGTAGCTTGGATTACAGCTGTGCACCACTATACCTGACTAAATTTCTATTTTTTTATAGATGGGGTCTTGCTGTGTTGTCCAGGCTGGTCTCAAACTCCTGAGCTCAAGTGATCCTCCTGCCTCGACCTCCCAAAATGCTAGAATTACAGGTGTGAGTTGCCACACCCAGTCCTGAAATTCACTTTTAAGTGTCACACCAGCCTGGTCTTCCCACTAAAAATAAAAGGCTGTGTCACAGAGGGCTTTAGTCTCAAACTCAGGGCTCACGAGTGCTCTTGTCCCAGTTCCATAGGTGTCTGGCCCCTGCAGCCAGCTGCTCAGGCTTTTCTTCCTCTAAGGTGGGGAGGTGTAAGGCAGAGGATAGATGCTACCCACCTTGTGATGAGACCAGGAAAGGGCACATGTTCAAAACCAAACCGCTAAACAAAGATTTTTAAATGCTTTTGCTTTAAGATATCAAACAGGCACACTATATGCTTGAGAAACTCCACTACGTTTGCTAAAATGTGTCTATTTCAGAAAGAGGGTCTCGCCAGCATTGAGCTACAGTCACCCCGTCCACCATCCAGCACAGTGTAAGCAAGCCCCTGGCAGGGAAGGGTGCTCCGATCTCACACTAACTGGGCAGGAATTTATAGAAATGATAGTCACTTTTCCAAGGACATCAACACCTCTTCCTTTTTTTGTTATAATACAAATGTCCCTTAAATGCCTACATACTACGTAAAATCATGACTCTAAGTTAAGCACTCCCTTTTAGAATGTCAGAGGCAGTGATGAAGGCAGCCTGTGGATGCTCCCCCAGAATTTCAAGAATGGAGTAATTTTGGACAAGCCCACATGGTCAGACTACGCATGACGTATGGATGCCTGCTTTCCCAGAGTGTGGCAAGGCCCACGGATGTCTCAGAGCAATCCCAAGTTCAGGCAGGATGGACTTCAACCAGACTGCCACAGGCCAGTGGCCCCGCAGCACGTCCTGTCCGCATCAAGTGACCCCCAAGGAGCTGTGCCCAGAGCAGCTCCATCACCATGCCCAAAGCGGCAACATCACCATGCCCACAGCAGCTCCATCACCATGCACAATGCAGCTCCATCACCATGCCCAGAGCAGCTCCATCACCATGCCCAAAGCAGCAACATCACCATGCCCAGAGCAGCTCCATCACCGTGCCCAGAGCAGCTCCATCACCATGCCCAGAGCAGCTCCCATCACCGTGCCCAGAGCAGCTCCATCACCGTGCCCGGAGCAGCTCCATCACCGTGCCCAGAGCAGCAAAATTGCCGTGCCCGGAGCAGCTCCATCACCATACCTGGAGCAGCTCCATCACCATGCCCACAGCAGCTCCATCACTGTGCCCAGAGCAGCTCCACCACTGTGCCTAGAGCAGGTCCATCACCGTGCCCGGAGCAGCAACATCACCGTGCCCAGAGCAGCTCCAACATTGTGCATTTCCATTTAAGCTCCAGGCAGGCCTCCAGCCCCAGGATTCCTACCAGGACCATAATGCTGGCTTCCTAGTGATAGATGCCAGGAATCTCCAAGGTCTCTAAACACTGATCCCCACCCCCAGCTTGTGCACCATTGCACCCTGGAACCAGAGCCCTGCCCCTCAACAGCAGCAGGGAGGCTGCCTCTCAGTAATCATCTGGCTTACCCATCACTGTGGCAGGCCTGTCCCCCTAGGGTGTCCCCATGTCAGGCCATGTCCATGTCTTACCCAGGCTCTGCCTGCTGCATGCCCCATGCATCTTCCTGGTTAGCGCCTATAACTAAGAGAGGGCCCAGCCTCCACTTTCAGCTTCAGTCCAAATCCTGGCCCCAGCCACATGCCTTAGCACCTGAACCATCAAAGCAAGGCCTGTCCAGCATCTTAGATACCACCGATGGGCCTGGTAGGGACTTCAACACTGGACTTATTATTTTTTGTTTTAGAGACGGTCTCACTCTGTCACCCTAGCTGGAGTGCAGTGGTGGGATTATAGTTCACTGCAGCCTCAACCTCCTGGGCTGAAGTGATCCTCCTGTCTCGGCCTCCCAAGTAGCTGGGAGTACAGGTGCATGCCACCATGCCCAGCTAATTTCTTTAAAAACTTTTTTGTAGAGACAGGGTCTCATTATGTTACCCAAGCTGGTCTTGGACACCTGGCTTCAAGCCATCCTCCCACCTCAGCCCCCCAAAGTGCTGGGATTACAGGCATGAGCCACTGCACTGGGCCCAACATTAAACTTTAAATTTGGGCACCAACATCATGACTTTGGATTCAGGAGACAGTGTTTTGATGACTGGAACAGGCGCTCCCCTTCCAGAAAGTGCCTGTGCTGGCCAGCAGCTCTGGTAGGTAATGAGGGTTAAGTGGTCCCAGCACCCACAGGTGCACCACAGAGCAACAGAGAAAGGGCCATGTGACTCTACTGGCCAGAAAACACCAAACGGTGCTATGATCCCCACCTCGGGCCTCAGTGGCAAAGTCCCTTCCAAAATGCAGAGGCCCCTTAGTACCCAGAGTGGCTTAGCTCTGATCCCTGCTCAGCGAACATCCTCGGGGACAGAGGCCTTCTCTTATCAAAGAGGGCAGTGATTTCCTTTCAGAACACGAAGCAAAATAAAAAACAAGTACCCAGGTGAGAAGAGGAAGTCGTGAACTGTGCACCATGAAAGGCCAGGCGCTCTCATGAACACCATCTCCCGCAAACCCACGAGAACCCGCTGGCGGGGAAGGAATCCCCTCGCTACACAGACAAAGAACCTGGGTGCAGACAGGTGAACTGACTGCCCAGGGCACATAACGAGTCCATGGTGGCTCCAGAAACCCACCCTGGTCAGCCTGCCCTCAAAGCTCACGGCCTCCTCACACAGCTGTGTGGTCATGACCTTGTGGAAAGCAGGTCTTAAAACAATTTTTAAAGGCTGAAAAGAAATGCACACAAAGGAAAATGTGGTTGTGTGAAAATAGTGGCAGAATGGATGGCTTCTGCTCTTTTCTTTGTTGCTAAATTTTCTTGTTTTTATTATTTTAAAATGCTTTAAATTAAATAATAAAAGGCTGTTTATGGCCAGGTTCTGTGGCTCACGCCTGTAATCCCAGCACTTTGAAAGGCTGAGGCAGGAGGATTGCTTGAGCCTAAGAGTTCTTTAAAAAAAAAAAAAAAAGGTTAAGAGAAGTCCTAGGGTGGGTCCCTAATCTGACGGGGCTGGTGTCCTTACTGGAAAAGGAAAAGACCCCTCATGTGTGCCCAGAGAAGAGGCCACATGAGGACCCAGGGACATGGTGGCAGTCTCTGAGCCCGGAAGACAGGCCTGACCAGAAGCCAACCCTGACAGCACCTTGATCTTGGATTTAGAGCCTCCAGACCTGACAGAAAATACATTTCTGTCATTTAAGTCACCCGGTCTGTGGTACTTTGTTAGGACAGCCCTAGCAGATTCATATACCTCAGCCTATCCTGACAGAGGACCCTAAAACATCTCACAAGCTTATACAGAAGAATCACAGCCCGGTCTGATTTGGCGGTCGCCTCTTGCGAAGCAGAAGTCATCTACGGCACTCTGTTCCTGCTCTAACATGACAGGTCATGCCTCCTGGCTTCTGGGCACAGCACTCGTGAAACCGCGCTGGAGGGATGCACGAGAGATGCCCGCCAGGCGCAGGAGCCCTTGACGGAAGAGGCAAGAGCGCTGGTTCTGCTCCTGCCTCCACCCTGGGCTGCCGGTGGGGTCCTGGGCAAGGCACCCCGCCTCGCAGCCTCAGGTCTTCTCTTTGCACAGTATGAGAGGGGAGCCAGTGATCTTCCAGGGTACTTGGGAGTCCCAAAGCTCCAACTTTACAAATTCTGCCTTCCTCAGCACACAGTCCTCAGTCTCACACACAAAACCCCAAATACAATTCTTTTTGTACAAACATTAAAAGCACACATATCAAAATATATACATGATGGTTTATTTCTACTAGAGAAGGCTTATAGCCTCATAGGAGCATGTATATTTAAGCCACAGCAGCTATGCTATTTCTTGCAGGTATTCAAGAATATGTATTCCCTGAAAAACCACACAAAGTTACTTTTCCCCCTTGGGAGTCACCAGACTACCACCATCATAGCTCAGTCAGTATACAATGCTTAACATTTCAAGGTGCCAGTTGATTCTTTAAAACACATTCTGCTTCTTCTACAGATTTAACTTTGTGTACAAGCCACTGGATAGGGAAGATATGTTTGATGTTATTAGTAAGTCCAGGTGACATGCACGATGCAGCTGACTTTGCAGGGAGATGGTGAAGAAGCCCTGCACCCACGCCAGGCTTCCACACACAGGAGCCACTGGTATTCCCTGGGCTCGGGCACAGTATGACCCCACACATGCAGCTGATCAGCGGATGCTTCTACAGAAGAAACCCTACAACATAATCAACTTTGAGGCCATCCCAGCCACAAGGTCCAGCTCAGCTTTCCAGGATGTGAGCATGTCATGCAAGAATATGCATGTTGGTGTGTGGAGGGTAAGCCCTGTGTGAGGGGAAATTCCAAGCAAGACAGAAAGTATCTTGAGTTTCTACAATGTCCAGATGCCAAAATGGGGTCTCCCTACTGCTGCCATATTTGCTGAAGCAACTTCCCCCTTAGGAATGCTGTTGGTCCAATTCCTCAGCCTGAAACAGAGATTCCACAATTTGCTTCTTTCAGGGCAAGAAGGGTTTACCTATGAATCCAACGCATGACCTTTATTGCGCTTGATACTACAAAGTCCTTGTGCATATGCCTAAAATCAGACCAGCCGGTCCCCAGTACACTCCCTTTTCCTAAGCATTTTCTAAAGACAGAATTCATGTTCCTGTCCAGCAAGAATACAGTCTCTCAGCTACTCCACATAAAAAACAAGCTAAAAAGACAACTTTTTTTTTTTTTTTTTACTATTTTACATATCAGGCTGTGACACTCAAACAAGTAGGTAGGCTGTCCTAATATCAAGTGTGATGTAAAAAGTCTGCAACCGGAATTTTCCTAGTGACCATTAAGACTCTCATTTTCAGTGGGCTCCACAACATCCTCCTCATCCGCCTGTGTCCCCGAGCGCAGGCCACCCCAGATGGGCCAGGCAGCAGTGAAGAGCCCTCTCTACAGCTCCACCGCCTAGGAAGGCTGGGACCTCAGGAGGTCGCGTGACCTCTCACATCTACTTCCTCACTTGTCATTGAGGGGTTTTAGTTCTATGAGATAGCTTTGGTCTCTTTCTGTTCTAAAGAAAAGACGTAACTCACTCTTCTATAATAACAGCTACATTTTAAGCCACCACAGACCTCATCCTTTTGATGACAAAAATGCCTTGCCATGCATTCAGGTCGAGTGATTAAGCCTTGTGGAGAAGGGGCCGTTATCTTGGTCAACGCTTCCGCACACCGGCTGGGCCGTCTGTCTGACGTGCCCCCAGCCCTCAGGTGCTGCCAAGAGCAGCCACCTGGACCACCTTCAGCCCTTTCATCGCGGACAGAAACTGCACTTCCCATGCACACTTCTCAGCTTACTTTACAGAGTTAAACTTAAATCACCGGAGGTTAATTAACCCATTTATGCGCAGTGTTCCATTATTGGAACGCTAAGCATGTGGGAGTTATTTATATCCTACTGCTCAAGGTCATTGCCAAGGTCTGATTTTTCACACGTCTGCAATTCAAAAAATTGCAACCTCCGGCATAAAAGGGTTTAAAAGGAGAACCACTGAGACAAATCTGCCATTCCAACTTCAGAAACAACTGAGTGACTGCTGACCTGGTATTAAAGTGCTCCTCTGGCCCCAGAAGCCTGTGAGCCTGACTCCTATGTGATCCCTAAGGTTGGACAGTGCCAGGAACAAAGCGTTTTCTGGAACCTAAAGCAAGGGGGGAAAGCCGCATTTTTAGAAAGTTTAAAAGTAAAGTTTACATGTAGCTTCAAAGGGGTGATCAGTGGAAGTGACAATGACTAATGAGATAAAACTGCCACCTGAAAATTAACATGCAATGCGGAAACACGGAGAGGGAAAGGGACATTTATCCAAGATGTCTTACTTAGAGAGACAGTCAGACTTTGTAAAAGAGAAAAGTATTCTAAAGTTATGATTTAATCCAGAAATGCACCAGAGATAACCCTTCTCCTTGTTGCTCTCCTTCTGTGACAGCAATGACAGGCTGGTGTGCACAATATTTCCGATATTTTTGCCCAACTAGACACTGGCCTGGCCAGCTCATTTGTATGGGGTTTGCATAGGTTTGCATAACTTCTACATGAGGAGGTGTTTGCTCCATGCATCTATCCTTAATTCAATAATTTCGGTATCTGTTCAGAGGTGGTAGAGGGGAAACAGAAGCCATAAAATAATCACAGTCAAATACTGCTGATTTAGAGAAAGCACACAAACACACACACTCACACAGGAGATTGGCTACAGGTCGTCTATGTGGCAAAACGTCACAGCAGCAACCTGGAATATTGTCTCCTCTCCTTTTACCCCACCCAGGACTAAATGAATATGTCTAGAAAAGGGTGAGTTTTCCAAAAATTGACCACAGGCCATAGGAAAGACATAAAACCAAATTACACATTTCAGTGCTTCAAAGACTGTCAAAAACTGTAATGTAGCCAAGAGCTCAACCAGTGATTTCAAGTTTGTGTTTTCAGCATGCATCCACCTTTTAAGTTAAGATGTCAGCAGTGAAGGTTCACAGCATTCCTGGGACGTGGTGCTCGAGCCCCAGAACCAAAGCTCGCCTGCCTCCAGGGCATTCTCTCCAAGACCTCGCTGAACTCGTGGAATCCGCATGGCCTCCGTCATCGTCTCATTTCCGGGCATCCCCGGGGTTGGAAAACTCCTAGATCTCTCTCCAGTGGCCTTTGTGCCCTGGAATTATTGAGGCAATTCAGTAACGGGATCGCCAATGAAAAACTTGTATCAGGAGTGTTGATCTCCCACAAAGTAGAAGGCCACCTACTGCTGCCTCATTAATTGCAAAATAAATCCTCCATGCAATAACCAGAAAACACTGTGCTGCTAAGTGAAGAAAGCAGAAACCAAGAAAGATCTTTCCACGCCTCATGGTATTCAGTCCCTCCTAGGGCTCCCTTATGCTTCAATTTCTGCACCTAGAGGCATGATTTGTAAAGGTTTTCAACATTTCCATGACAGAACTGGGCCTGAGAAAGCCCACCCCAATGGCATCCTCTCTCCTTTCTCAAAACGTACTGGAGATGTTTCATTTCATGGGATATTGTAAGGGCTAACCCACAGCCTACGGATGGGAGAATGTCTAGAATGTTTCTAAATGCCAAAAATATTTTATAACTCTAATGTTCCTGACCTGCCATCATCTCAAGCCACATAACCATCTGAATTAGTGGGAGAAAGTGACAGGAACAGAGCGCAGATCACAGGGCCACAAATATGCCCAGGGCACGCCCAGGCATTGTGCCAGCAGCCCACCCACAGACAGTCTATGAGCACAGCAAGGTGCACCCAGTGCTGCTGTTTGCCACGTGCCACTGAAGCACCCAAGCCAGTGAATGAGGAGAGTAATCTGGCCTGCAGACATGCTCTACCATTATCTCCATCCACCCCACAGCCAGACAGCCGGCAAGCTCCTAGAGGCCAGGGAACTTCTGAATCCCACAGTGCTTCACTGACCCCAGCTGCACCTCTGAAGGGCACACAGCAAATGCATGTGGACAGACTACACTAAAAACACCCAACTTCTGTTTGGTAGCCTAGAAGGGAAAATTTCGTTTCACTGGGATATCTTCCAAAATTTCATCAAATTGGCTCAAAAAGTAACCAAGCAGTCAGCCCAACAGATTTCAGGGCCATATTTTCCTGGTAAATGAAAAACGCCCCATGCTGGGACCTCTGCTTGGTATACCCAGTCAATCTTAAGCATAAAAAAGCACAATCTTCAAGAAAAATTGTACGCTCAAGAATGCAAGAGAAAATTACATTGGTCATGAAATGGCACATTCTAATTCCTCAGAAACATTGCTTCGTTAAAATTCAGGAGTTTTTAAAGATCGATCACACTTATACTGATGAGACCCTCATTGTTCCTGAGAGTCTTCAGATCTAGTTGTGGCTTTGGGGTAACTCAGCTGGGATTCAGACGGGCCAGCCTGCAGAGCCTACTGTGGGCGAAGGAAGAGCTGTGCCTGTGAGGAGGTGAGAGGTGCTCCAGACACCCAGGGACCCGGCCAGGTCCCCGCAGCTCAAGCTACACGTTCTGCAACCACAGCCCGATCATCACAGCCATCTGCGCCTCACCCTCTGCAACTGTACAATTTGATTTGTCCAAGGCTTTTGCCAGCGCCAACATTTTATAGTTTCCTTCAGCAAATACTCAATAACTATGTATTGAATAAATAAGTGAATGAGTGAATGAGCTTCCAAACTAACAATTGCTTTTGCCTTCCAACACCTCTGTTGGTGGCAGAGGGCTTTGTGGCTGATTATGTCATTTGTCATTTTGTTTTCTGGAGCACAACAGATTGAGCCTCAGTTGGAGAGGTGTAAAGACGTCAGCAAACAGACCGGCTGGGGAAGGAGAGGCGGCGTGGATGTGTGTGCCACTCTTCAGACACGCTCCTGAGCAGATACTGTGCTGTGACTCAGAGGCCCAAACTCCATCCAGACTTGGTAAACAGCCTGTTTTAGGTTTATTTAGTTTTGCTATTGATCATAAACTGAGAAAATACTTCAGAGTTTAGTTAGCCCCAGGAAATTAAAATCCCCATGTGTCACAAAAGAAGGGCTGACTGGGCCCCTGGGCAGAGCTGCCTTTCTCTCAGGAAGCCACGGTGCAGAGCAGGGCCTGCGGGTCTGTTCACTGGGGTTGAAAGTGTGGTCCTTATGTAGACTGCACCCTCAGATATTCTTATAGGCCAATGATCTTAGAGGCAAAGTCTGGTATAAATGAACTGTGATTTAAATTAATGGATAAAAGGTGTTTCTGTTCTTCTGGTATAATCTAACTTCTGAGAATGCACCAGCACCTGACTTCTACTTTAGTTTTATATCTCACTAAATCCACAAATCAGGAGTAGCTCACACATCTGAAGGTAAACAACAAAACTCTTTTAAGATACCCTAATTTTTTACATGTGCAAGAAGCAGGTGCCAAAAAATGCCTAAAACAAACGCAGATCTTTTTTTTTTTTAAAGAATACCTGTCTGAAGAATAAAGAAAGAAAAACAAGCAAATGAAGAAAGCAAATTAGTGGAAACTTTCAATAGCTATCAATTCTTCCAGCCAAGCAAAAAGTGCATAATTTAGGGTTCTATGGTTCAGGATCATTTTACCCAGAATAAGTTAAGATATATTGAGATAGTTGGAGAATGCTTAAGATATAAACAACGATTAATGGACAGGAGGCTGCTACAAACTCTGAAACTATCTGCAAGCCAAACATTTTAGGTATGTAAAAGGTTAACTGATACTTTTCTATGGAAAACCAGGGACAGGAAGGAATCCCCAGCCCCTCTTCCTCTTCAAGGATCAAGGCACTGAGGACCCTGAGAATTATGGGGAAACAGAATCATCTAGTTTGACAATAACCAGGGGGAAGAATGGGTGCCCCATCAGCAAAGGGGAGGCACCAACTACCCAGGCCCTGCCGGCTCCTCCAGCTGTGCTCAGATGGGAGGACTGAGGTCTCCCCACAGGGTACAGCCCCACACAGTTACTGAGCCCACCACGTCTGCCCACACAGTAAAACTCCCCAACAGGGTATGGGAAGGGCAGGAATCTGCTGTCCTGACCGGAACATCCAGAATGTTCCCATGGTTCTCCTAGAGGCTGCTGAACCTCTTCCAGGAGCCCCCAATATCACAAGGAAGGCTGAGATATGATGGGATTATTCTTCATGTAGGAGGAAGCCTATTCTTGAAGACAAGTCTTCACCTCTAGAAGCTCGAGCACCCAACTTCAGCAAGAAGGAATTTACATCTGGCATTCTGCAACCCAGCTGTTCTCTCCACCTCCCATCTCTCCACGGCAGTCCCAATGGCTCAGGACTGGACACAGCTGGGTCTGTGGCTGAGCATAGAGACAGACGGCCCCATAATTTTAGCAATGACTCATCTCTCTTTTACTTTGCAAAGTATGACAGTGGCCAGCTAGCAAACTTCATCACAGTCTTATTTATGCTTTCTTCACTGAAGCTCCCAAAAGATGGAGTCGGTGTTTTTGTTCAACTGTAAATTAAAGACAGATGACACTCCTGAAGATTTCGTGTTAAGTGATTAGTCAAGTAACTGGCCATATAGTACTAAATTCTACTTATATTTACACACTTATGAATCCTTGAACAGTTCAATGTTCTGCAATCTACAAAATGCTTTTACTCCCTTTAACACTGTTAGTCACCACAAATAGTCTAGGCCTCAAATAATCTCTCATTTCCTCAGTTTATACACCTATGCAATGAGACAAATGAGAAAGTGAATATGATGTGATTTAAGTCCCTAGGAACTAAACCATTATGCGTGCTGGAACTGAACAATTTTACTTTTAGAACTCAGAAGACTGACACAAGAGCATATTCAAAACAACTGCTAAACAGCTCCAGTGCTGGGACCTTTACAGCCATGTGGAAAATACCAAGCAGTGGAGCCTTCTGAATTGTTGCAAAGAGGAACAGAGTCCCAGCTCCTTATGAGGCCTGACTGGTGTTTCTAAAAGTCCCCAGATGTCAAAATGCCTGAAGGCTTGGGGCTTGGATGAGGCTGTTTCCACAGTGCCTAAGTTCTCCTGCCAAAGCTCTGTGCTTGTTCATTTCTTTCCTAGGTGGTGTTTTAAGTGCTTCTAAGTAGGACAGTCATATCAGGAGGTCCTCATGCTTTGCGGGTGTCATCACAGTGCAGAAGGTGCGGTCAATTGCCATGGTCTGTGGGGCTGCTACCGTGGCCCCGTGACTCACCTTGCAGAGTGACCACGGTCTGCAGGGCTGCTACCGTGGCCCGTGACTCACCTTGCAGAGTGACCACGGTCTGTGGGGCTGCTACCGTGGCCCCGTGACTCACCTTGCAGAGTGACCACGGTCTGTGGGGCTGCTACCGTGGCCCCGTGACTCACCTTGCAGAGTGACCACGGTCTGCGGGGCTGCTACTGTGGCCCCATGACTCACCTTGCAGAGTGACTTCTGCATGGCTTTTCTTTCATAGTCACTATATTGCGCTAACACCTTTACAGATTATTTTTAGATTGTTGAAATAGAATTTTTCAGCAATATTTTAACTTGAAATAGCCAAAGTTGTGTATCTGGTCCTATTAGCAACTAAATTTTTCTTTACTATAAATTGGACACAATTTTAATATAAACAACTCTAATATGGATAGCTAAACTAATCTTTCAGTTTCAATACACGTGTCCTTTAAACAGATAGGGAAGAGACCTTTATCAGTGTAATTTTGGCTAAGCTAATGGAAGGTGGCTAAAAGGATATCATTTTCCTTTATTCACCTGAAGTTGAGGTTGGGACATTTGCCTATTTCATTCTGCATTACATTCAACTCACATTTATCTAGAGGATTATAAAACTGCCAGACATTTTACTGATTAAAACCACCACCCAAATATTACAATTAGGATTACTACAGAAGTAAATCCTCAGTTCAAAATGTGAAAGGAATACAAATTAGTAATTGTTCCCATTCCACCTTCTTCACGGAATAGAGTGATCACTTTGGAGAGGATAATAGTAGCATCTGGTCATTTATCTGACGGCTTCTACGTTTATATGAGATTTTCTAAAAATACCTAAACACCCAAATTACTAAATTAAAACTAGTTATGCAGGTACATTTTGCCTTAATGTCTTTGCCTCTTGTGAGATAAGGTTTTTAACGTTTTTCTCTGTATTGAACCAATGTCAGTATTTTCTAGTCATTCTTCCACTAATTATTCTAAATTGTAGGAAGCTTATATTAATTACTTGCATTTTCTCTGAAATAAATATTTGATTACCAGGTTTCAATTGGGACTAAATCCAATCCTCATAATAAGTGTTTCTCTCTCCATCCATCCACACTAAGTTCAATGTGAAATCAGAAGAGTGTAGGAATAAGAATTTGGGCACCTCCCGCCCCACCCCATAACCTGAGGGCAGACAGTGGAGAAGGTTACAGAAGCCCACACCATAGGGTGGCGCCGTCGTAGTCACCAGCCAATTACTTATCCAGAGGATGTCCCCACCCTGCACCCACTCTCCAGAGGGAAGCACCGGGTAGTTTCTCTTTATCAGATACAACTCAAGAGATACAGAAGGCAAACTCATTTCAACCTTACTGTTTAAACTCATGGCCTTCAGTGATCCTCCTACCTGGGCTAAACGTTAAAAAGTGTTAACAACTGTTTTTTGAAAAATCATGAAAAACAAACAAAAACTTGATAACAGAACAGATCATCCTGATTATACTATAATAAATGTCATTACAGCACCAAGATCAAGACATCTGAGTGTATCTTTCTGTACTTTATGGGACAGTATTTCATAGAAAGATATACTAAGATATTTGCAGACTTCTCCTGCTCTCCAGAGGGCTGCTTTCTTATTTCCTCTACGTCCTGGTGGGGATTGTGCTGTTGCGGGTGACACCAAGTCTCTGTGTGTGGTGACTTCTCCCAGCCTGACTGCTTTCTAGCCAATCTCCAGTCATTTCCCCACATTTGCCCTCCAGACGCATCCAGCCACACGGGCTGGTCCAGGCTCTCCACTCGGAGTGAGCGCCACCTCCTAGGCTGCTGTCTCCGCTCAGACCACCTTCTCTTTACCCAAGACTGAAGCCCAAAAGTCACTCTGCAATCCACCTTCTGCCCCACCTGCCCTGCACATTCCAGCTACCAACACAATCGGCGCACGGATCCCTCCACCCCAGGCCTCTTCTCCACAGCTGTTGCTTCAGCTCAGGCCCTGTCCCCCAGGCCAGGGACAGCTCCTCACTGTCCTTCCTGGCTGGCCCTCTCAGCTTCCGTCTCCTTCTCCACTGACTCCCACCCTCAGCCACCAGACTCAGCTTCCTAAACACGCATCTAATGACACTGTCTCCTCTGAAAAGTGCAGTGGTTCCCACATCGTATGGGATAATCTATGCAGAGCATTCAAAACCTCATGGCGCCAGGAGGTCGAGGCCAGCCCGGGCAACATAGTGAGACCTCATCTCTACAAAACATTTTAAAAGTTAGCTGGGCATGGTGACACACACCTGTATTCCCAACTACTCAGGAGGCTGAGGCAGGAAGATTGCTTGAACCAGTAAGTTGAGGCTGCAGTGAGCTATGATTGTGCCACTGCACTCCAGCCTGGGTGGCAAAGCAAGACCCTGTCTCTAAAAATAAATAAATAACAAAACTCTATAGTTTGACCCTAACTTTCTTTTCCAACTGTATCTCTAGCTCTCGTCTTCCTGTTCCAAGGACAACATAATATGAGTCAGCTTTAAAATGGAAGGAGATTCTGAGATAGGCTCCAATGTGTGTGAACCCTGAAGACTTTATGCTAAGTGAAATACACTAGACACAAAAGGACAAATACTGCATGATTCCACTTATGAGGTATGTAGAGCAGTCAAAATCATAGAGACAGAAAGTAGAACCATGGGTGTCAGCGGCTGGAGGGAGAGGGAATGCAGAGTTAATGTTTAATGGGTACACAGTTTTGGTTTGGGAAAATGGAGAGAGTTCTGGAAATGGATGGTGGTGATGGTTGCACAACGTGAATGTACTTAATGCCACAGAACCGTACGCTTAAAAATGGTTAAAATATACTGTTTCCATAGCAACTGAACCATTTTACATTTTTTCCAGCAACACAGAAGGGTTCCAACTTCTCCACATTATGTATATCTTACCACAGTTTTTTTTAAAGGGACAAAAAGTTTGAGAAACAAAGTTAACAGTGTGCTGTGAAAGCTGAGTTGAAGGACTGGCTTGAGTTTCCCCCACCATTCTCTAACAAGGGTGCAGCCTTGACTTCCCTACCACAACCCCCGAGTTTCAAGAAAGACATGGAAAAATGTGGACAGCCCCAGCAAACCAGATCCCAGGACAAAAAGAGGGAAACTGTTAAAGCGTCAGGCTAAGCAGACAGACCCCAGACCCCTTGTGCACAGCGGAACCCTCTCCCAAGCACTGAGCTCACTAAGCTAACCCAGCATCGCCACGAAGCCTCCTGCAGGAAGCACGCCAACTTTAAAATATTATATGAATTTCAAGAAGAAAGCCTACAAAGGAAAAGCCCAGCAGACACCTCCAATGGCCCCCATGTTAAGTTACACAATTGACAACAGAATCCTGTCCCCTGACTGTCCTCGGCAAGCCTGTCCATGTCACCCTCTGCCCACTCATGACACCTCCAATCTGACCATCACTGAAGTGACTGCCCCAAGCCAAATGAACCACACACCTTGTGCTCCACTGCAAGTGCTCTTAACCCTTTCTGGAGGTCAAAACCCTCCTGAGAATCCTATCAAAGCCCTGGCATTCTCCCCAGGAACTGGCAACATTTCAAGGAATTCACAGATGCCCCTGGGCCCCTGGGGCTTACAAACACTGTCCCAGTGCCTGTCTCCTTCACATTTCGCTTCTGTACTGCACTTGAGAGGGACGCTGCAACCTCCCTCCATTTGTAAGAACTATATAACAAATTTCAAGAATCCCTCAGGACTCTCTTTGAAAGGGCAGCCCACGCCCCCAACCAATGTCAGGACGTCAAGGGGAGGTCGTCTCACATCGGCTTGAGAGGCACAGCCCGTCCGACATGCCACATCCCCAAAGGACGCCCCTCCCTGCGACTGCCCTCACAGATGCACTGATGTGACTTATGGGGACTGCTGCGATGCAGTCTGTTAACACTGGCACCAGCTGCCACGGGCGAGTCATCTCAGGAACCTGACCTTGGCAAAGCGTGTTTCACACTCGAGCACAGCTCATCCGGGTGGCCTCGAGCAGGGGCAGGAAGGCGGAAAACGGACAGGGAGGTGCTGGGGTGCACTGCCCCCCAAACCGCACCAGAGGACTCACCTCACCCACACAGGGAGACCAAATCCTCAAAGCCAAATTTTCAAGCTGCTGCTGAGAATCCCATAAAAAGCAATGCTATTTCTAACCTCCCGCACCACGGAAAAATACACACACCACCAAGCAACCCAGAATCTGAGGGTTTATTTTTACATCTTTTCCCCACATCCCCCACCCTGGCCTCCCCCACAAAATTTTAGGTGGAAAATTTGCTGGCTTTTTAGCAGTTTGACAATGCTGTGCTAGGCATGAACTGACGGAGCTGCTAGCGCATTTGAGTTTAAAGCAAAGCGTCAAAGTATTTATCCCATATGACTCCACAGGTCTGCTTGATGAGAAACTAATAAACTCTAATCACAGAAGACAGAATCCAACAAGCAGGCGGAGACGAGGCCCAGGTCTCAGGCCATGGGCAGAAGTGGCAGAGGTGGTAAGTTTCTCTTTCCCACCTCTGAAAGTGGTGTTCCCACCACGGGACTTTCTTCCTGCGGGCTGGCATTCTCTAATCCAAACTATGAACAAGGGCATTCGGCATCCCTGATGCCCTTGCTGCATTTCTGATTTTCTCAATGCCACTCTTAACCCTTGATTTGGTTTGGCTGTGTTGCCACCCAAATCTCAACTTGAATTGTATCTCCCAGAATTCCCACATATCGTGGGAGGGACCCAGCGGAAGGTAATTGAATTATGAGGGCCTTTCCTGTGCCATTCTCGTGATAGTGAATTAGTCTCACGAGATCTGATAGGTTTGTTTCTGCTTTTGCTTCTTCCTCATTCTCCCTTGCTGCCGCCCTGTAAGAAGTGCCTTTTGCCCTCAGCCACGATTCTGAGGCCTCCCCAGCCATGTGGAACTGTAAGTCCAATTAAACCTATTTTCTTCCCAGTCTCGGGTATGTCTTTATCAGCAGGGTGAATATGGTCTAACACAGTAAATTGGTATCAGTAGAGTGGAGCACTGCTGAAAAGATACTCGAAAATGTGAAAGTGATTTTGGAACTGGGTAACAGGCAGAAATCAGATCAGTTTGAAGGGCTCAGAAGAAGACAGGAAAATGTGGGAAAGTTTGAAACTTCCTAGAGACTTGTTAAATGGCTTTGCCCAAAATGCTGATAGCAATAAGGACAATAAAATCCAGGCTGAGGTGGTCTCAGACAGAGATGAGGAACTTGTTGGGAACTGGAGCAAAACTGACTCTTGCTATGTTTTAGCAAAGAGACTGGCAACATTTTGCCCCTGCCCTAAAGATTTGTGGAACTTTGAACTTGAAAGAGATGATTTAGGGTATCTGGTGGAAGAAATTTCTAAGCAGCAAAGCATCCAAAGGTGACTTGGGTGCTGTTAAAGGCATTCAGTTGTATAAGGGAAGCAGAGCATAAAAGTTTGGAAAATTTGCAGGCTGACTATGCAATAGAAAAGAAAAACCCATTTTCTGAGGAGAAATTCAAGCTGGCTGCAGAAATGTGCATAAATAGCAAGAAGCCTAATGTTAATCTCCAAGACCATGGGGAAAATGTCTCCAGGCCTTGTCAGAGACCTTCACAGCAGCCCCTCCCATCACAGGCCCAGAGGCACAGAAAGAAAAAGTGGTTTTGTGGGCTGGGCCCAGGGTCCCCGTGCTGTATGCAACCTAGGGACTTGGTGCCCTGTGTCCCAGCCACACCAGAAGTGGCTGAAAGGGGCCAACATACAGTTCAGGCTGTGACTTCAGAGGGTGGAAGCCCCAAGCCTTGGCAGCTTCCACATGGTGTTGAGCCTGCGGGTACACAGAAGTCAAGAATTGAGGTTTGGGAACCTCCGCCTAGATTTCAGAAGATGTATGGAAATGCCTAGATGCCCAGGCAAAAGTTTGCTGCAGGGGCGGGGCCCTCATGGAGAACCTCTGCTAGGGAGCCCCCACACAGAGTCCCTACTGGGGCATGGCCTAGTGGAGCTGGGAGAAGAGGGCCACCATCCTCCAGACCACAGAATGGTAGATCCACAGACAGCCTGTACCGTGTGCCTGGAAAAGACACAGACACTCAATGCCAGCATGTGCAAGCAGCCAGGAGGAAGGCTGTACCCTGCAAAGCCACAGGAGTGGAGCTGCCCAAGGCCACAGGAAGCCACCTCTTACATCAGTGTGACGCGGATGTGAGACCTGGGATCAAAGGAGATCATTTTGAAGCTTTAAAATCTGACTGCCTCGCTGGATTTTGGACTTGCATAGGCCCTGTAGCCCCTTTGTTTTGGCCAATTTCTCCCATTTGTAACAGCTGTATTTACCCAATACCTGTACCCTTATTGTAACTAGGAAGTAACTAGCTTGCTTTTGATTTTACAGGCTCACAGGCAGAAGGGACTTGCCTTACCTAAAATGAGACTTTGGACTGTGGACTTCTGGGTTAATGCTGAAATGAGTTAAGACTTTGGGGGACTATTGGGAAGGCAAGATTGGTTTTGAAATGTGGGGATGTGAGATTTGGAGGGGTCAGGGGCAGGATGATAGAGTTTGGCTGTGTTCCCACAAGTCAACTTGACTTGTATCTCCCAGAATTCCCACGTGTTATGGGAGGGACCCAGGGGAAGGTAGTTGAATCATGGGGGCCAGTCTTTCCCATACTATTCTCATGATAGTGAATAAGTCTCATGAGATATGATGGGTTTATCAAGGGTTTCCGCTTTTGCTTCTTCCTCATTCTCTCTTGCTGCCGCCATGTAAGAAGTGCCTTTCGCCTCCCGTCATGATTCTGAGGCCTCCCCAGCCATGCAAAACTGTTAGGTCCAATTAAACCTCCTTTTCTTCCCAGTCTCGGATATATCTTTATCAGCAGCATGAATCCGGACTAATACAACCCTGAAGTTGAAGAATCGGGGACAATGGTGAGATGGAGCTTCAGAATCCAGTCCCCTGATGCTGGGTAGACAGAGGTCCGGGAGGAGACAGGAGGTAAGAGGAGACATGGGAGACACAGAGAGGGGTCCCAAATAAGGCTGAAGAACTCAGAAACTCTTTCAGAAGCCAAGGGAGACCCCTGAATAGAACCCCCAAACCTGGGATCCCTCCCAGGATCCCAGCACTGGCCACCTTGGTGTCACTTCCCTGATAGCAACCTGAAAGGCCAGCAGAAGCTCTGACCCACAGCTTCCCCACTGCCCATGCAGGTGGGAAACCTCGGGGCACCCCCTGCAGGAACCACCTTCAAGGCTGAGTTTCAGTCCTCCTCAAGTTAGAAGCCCCCAGCATTAGATGGTCATTCACATGACAACTCCAATTGTCTTTTGTGGGTATTTTTTGTTTTTGTTTTTGTTTTGAGGGGGGTGGAGGGCGAGATTGGAGACAGGATCTCGCTGTACTGCCCAGGCTAGAGTGCAGTGGCATGATCATAGCTCACTGCAGCCTCAAACTCCCAGGCTCAAGTGATCCTCCCGCCTCAGCCTCCTGAGTAGCTGGGACCACAGGCATGAGCTACCAGGCCCAGATAATTTTTTTGATTTTTTAGTAGAGCTGAGGTCTCATTATGTTGCCCAGGCTGGTTTCAAATTTCTGTGCTCAAGCGATACTCCTGCCTTAGCCTCTCAAAGTGCTGGGATTCCAATTCTTTTTGTTTGATAACATTTTCACGAGTTAATCTGTTTTATTGCACGGTGCCGAAGATCACTTTATACACACATCTGGTGAAAATAAGCAGGACTCTATTTACCAGTGTAGACAGCAGGGACCTATATTCAAAGGTAATGATTGCTTCTCCCAGTACTATTGGTCCTCTTTGATTTTACCTTAAAAAGTTTAAATTGAGCAAAGATAGAAGTTCAGGTCGGGATGCATTGCCTGGGTCTAAGGTTATTTTTTCATTGTTCCAGTGTGTCTCCCCACAGGGACCACTGGTCTCACACTGGAAGACATCCGCATGGTCCCTGGTCTGCACCGGTGCCTTCAGATCCCTTAAGGACCAAGAAGAAAACCAAAAGAGAGGTGGAGTTTTCTCCAGCTGCACCTTTCCAGTCTGTGCTGACAGCCAGCCAGATCTCAGTCTGAGGTTGCATTGTCTTATGCGGAGGTCAGGGAATGGTGCAGGGAGCCTGAATTAACGATTTCTTTGCCCACACCCCAGTGCCTTTGTGCTTAATCACGTCAGCAGCACTCCCCCACACGCTCCAGCAGGATGCCGTGTGAAATTCCTTAGCAAACTTCCGTAGTCCTGAAAGAGGACAGAGAGAGCAGGACCTCTGCTATTTTCCTCCAATCCCCCCAGCACACAGATCACAGCAGAAAGCCAGCATTAGGGTGGAAAATAACAGCCAACATGTTGTTGAGTGACGACTGTGCATGGAATGCTGAATTAGGCATCTTCAAAGTAATTCCATGAGATAAATATTATCCCATTTAAAGATGAGAAAAGCTGAGACTCATAGAGGGTTAGGACTTGCCAAGGTAACAAAGTGAATGAAAGTTACCACGCCAGAACTCAACCCAAGGTCTGTGGCTTCTGAGTTCCCCACACAAACGCCATATGGCAAGGGCATATGTTTTCAGATTCATCGAGGAGGGAAAAACTCAAAAGTGCATTTAATAACAACCTAAACACGGGGACCAGGCTGCATTTTAAAACCAAGTCCAAATAAATCCACTGTACAAGGAGACAGGCACATCCTGCAGTTAACGCAAAGCTCTAGGCCTCCTTGGGCCCTCCCAGGCAAGCAGACAGAAAGCAGAAGAAGGCAATACCACCTGTCCATTTTATCAGCTCTTAGGAATGTCTCACAGTCCAGCTGTGAGCTGCTTAAGGGACAAAATTTTGCAAGTAACAGAGCAAATATAAATTCCAGGACAGTCAGCTGTAAGAACCTATTTTAGAGGTGTGAAAGTTCTTACGACGCCTCGCAATCTAAGTCTGTGCTTGAAAATTGCCCATGACGATGAAGCGCCACGCAGTTCTGCAGAGATAGTGATTTCTTCTTTAGCTGCTCTGATTATCAGGAGAAGCAACGTAGCTCTGTATTTAATTTAAAATCCACATATACCAGTACAGTCAAGACAAAGTTTTCCATTACCAATTTTGAAAGTTGCTTAAACTAATTGATGAGTGAGGTAACCCCACATAAGGGGGAAAATCAGATACTTATGTCATTTGCAAGAATTATTTTTACTTTTGCTGAAATGTTGTAACTCAAGTTTCAGTCTTCGGGGGCATAGTCCAGTGGTGTGTTCCGCTACCTAGTAAAATTCTACTTGAAGACAGTGCTAGTTTTTGGTGGGTCAATTCAATGGCAACTGTATTTGAGACAATAAAAGAGAAATGAAACTGCACCCACGCTTTTGTCAGCCCTGGTAGAGAGGCGCTGCCGCCGCCCACTTCAAACTGGCGGTGGGTGTGCCAAACGATGGAAGAAAAACAGCTCCTCCACACCCACCAAGCCAGCGAAGAGCAGGGATTTTCAAACACCGTGCTGTTCTGTCAGGTTAATAAAGGGATCGTGTGAATAACAAGCATTTAGTCAGTCACTGAACATCCACAAGGCGTGCGGTCTGGGTGTTCCCCGTGAGCTCTTTCCACCCCAGCTTCCCGAGAGCCAATCGATTGGGCATGAAATTCACTCAGGAGAGAGGAGAGAAACACACGAGCTCAGCAGTGGAGGAGCTGCCCCCACACAGAACCCAGGCGTGGTTTGCTCTGCCATGCATACTGCTTTGCACCCAACTGTAAAAAGTCCATTTACATTCCAGGGTCTGTGTGCCTCAGCAAGGAAGCACCACAAATCCTCCTGGATTCTCCAGGTGCCTCCTCTGCTGCCAACAGCAACCAGAAAGGAAAAGGCTGGGTTATGCTCCAAGAGCTTCAGGGGGGATTCCTCATCAAGTTGTTTCATTTGCCAAAAGTTTTATCGAGCTCCTGACACTGCAGGCACTGTTCTAGACCCTGAAGAAAAAATAAATGGAAGGAAGGAAGACAAGCGGGAGAGAGGGAGGTCCTTGCCCTCATAAGGCTTACATTCTAGAAAGGGATTTCCCATAAGCAATGAGTCCCACCACCAGGCACATTAAAAATATAGGGAAAAAAATGGACCTTATATTTTATAGAATGTCTTACCTTCCTGAAAATTCTCATGTATTTCTTCACTTCATGTTCTTTGACATCAAGTGAAGCCTGACAATGAGACAGAATAAGCATCACTAAAATCACAGATGAACTGAGAAAACATGGCGTCTCGAGCGGAGCAGGGCATCCTGAGGCCAGAGGCTGAAGCTGGCATGCCAGGTAGGGGGCTCTGGGCATCTCCCAGCTCTGCCACTGACTGTCCCCCACCAGGGCTGGCTCTGAAAACACACAGGTGTCACCCAAGCTTCTACTGTGAATAGATACCCAAGCCCCAGCCATTAACATCCAGCCCCAAAGAAGAAACACACAAATGAGGCACACCCTTGTCAAAACAAACGCAGCCAGACAGGTCCACCACTGCAGAGCAGCTCCTGCCGCGACAAGCTCTGCTTCCCAGACATCATCACAAAGAACAGTCACAAGTAATTCCACTTACCTTTTACACTATACAGAAACTGATGGGAGTTCTCGGAAATGGCCCAACAGGAGGTTTGATGTCACGAACGTAGAGCTTGAACCGCTAGAAAGAAAGATGAAGAACTTCTGTGAGCCATGTTTCTTTTTGTGTGTCCCCCTCTCAAGTTTCAAAAACAGTTAAATATTTGAGGGCTGTCACGAGAAGAGGCATAAATATCAAAATGAATACAATAAAAATGCAATAATAGGCATCAAGTAATAAAGGGAAGGAAGAGAGAAGAATTACAGCACAGAATTACCAAACTGGGACAAAATCCCCCTCTGCCTCCACTCAGTCACAGGGGCACCGAGTCCTCATCTGTTAAAGGACACACGCTTGTTCCTGCAGAGGCACGGGCCTCCTCTTTGATGAGAGGCCAAATAACAGATAGTATCCCTGTTGGACTGGTCTTCTTAAAATTCATACACACTCTAAAAGCTGTGAAAAGACCATCTTCTTTCACGACAATCCAGTCTCAAGACAACATGGGCCCACCTAAGACGGGCAGGCCCCAGTGATTCCTCTGCTGAAATACATGTCTGATTTCATGGAAGAGGCAAGCCCTCTAGCAGTGACACTGCTGGGATGGTAACGTTCGTGACTCTGCCTGCAAGGCTGCCTTTACCTGCCCACCATCCTGTTAGGAGAGTGTCCTCCCAGCTGGTGCTTCAGATTTTGTCCATTCCATACAACCTGTCACTGGCATCCCCATCCCAACTGAGTGAGCATGCTCTGTGGGCATCGCACCGTCCCAGGTGGAGCGCCGGGTATCCTCGGGTGACCGCCTCGAGCTCCAAAGCAGTTTCAGGTGAACTCAGCAAAGCTCGGCCTCAGACACCACAAGCGCCTCTCAGCACCCCGCCCTCCAGTGTGCAGGACACACTCTTGTCCAAGGGGGACTAAGCCACCATCTGTCTGGCTTGTGTGCTGCAGTTCATTCTCCAGGAGGCTCGTACCCCAAAGCGTGCTCCTGCCATATGCCACTCCTGAGTGATCAGCCCATGTAAAGACAGCCGGATAAAACACGGCTGCACCTAGCTAGAGGAGCCTGGGAGATTCCTGCGGAGCTCTACCCCAGCCAAACACCTCCTTCCCATCAGTGTTGGGAGCCTACAGACATTCCTTTCTCCTCCTGTTTCCTGCCTGCTGAGAGATGAAAACAACCCACTGCTGATTTTCCAGATCTTAGTTTTTATTCCTCCACTGGGGCTGCTCTCACCAGTCTTCCTAGGACGCAAACGCTCAGATTTCTTGGGAACGGAAGTCCATGAAATAACCAGAAAGGTACTGTGGTGGGCAGAATTCTAAGGTGACTCCCCAAATTGCTTACACCCTGTACAACTCCCTCCCCTTGAGTGTAGGTGGAAGCTGTGATTGGCTTCTACCCAACCGAATACCACAAAGAATGCTTCTCCCCACACCAGGCGACCTACATAGGAGTCCGCAACGAGGGAGTGACAGACTCCCTTGCTGGCTTGGAGAAGCGAGCTGCCACCTCATGATGGGGCCTGTGAGGGGCCACTTGGCAAAGCACTACAAGGGCTCCCCAGGACCTGAGAGCAGCCCCTAGCTGACAAGCAGCAAGGGAACAGGGACATCAGTCCTGCAGTTACAAGTCAATGAATTCTGCCAGCAACATGAATGAGCCTGGAGGTGGATTCTTCCATACTCAAACCTGCAGATGGGAACACAGCCTGGCCAACACCTTGACTACAGCCTGACCAGAGAACCAACTAAGCCATGCCTGACTGTGGAGCCTTGGAAACTGTGAGATAACAAATGAGTACTGTTTTCAGCTCCTAAGTTTATAATAATTTGTTACACAGCAACAGAAAACTGATAAATGTAACTTAGTAATTAGGCCAGGTACGGTGGCTCATGTCTGTAATTCCTGTACTTTGTGAGGCCGAGGCGGGTGGATCAGGATGCCAGGAATTCAAGACCAGCCTGGCCAACACAGTGAAACCCCATCTTTACCAAGAAATACAAAAATTAGCTGAGCGTGGTGGTGCACACCTGTAGTTCCAGCTACTCGGGAGGCTGAGGCATGAGAACCACTTGAACCCAAGAGGCTGAGGTTGCAGTGAGCCAAGATCGACCCACTGCACTCCAGCATGGGCGACAGAATAAGACCCTATCTCAAAATAAATAAATAAATAAAATAACTTAGTAATTAAATATGGGTTACATAATATAAAGCATATATGCATATACTAAACGCATACACATCTGTACATTAGAGCAGGCCTCTGCCCTGCCTCATCTACCAAAAGTGGAAATTCATTCTCCTACTCAACTTTTAGCTCCTTGTGGGCAAAAACCACATCCCCGTCATCCTGGCATCCCTAACACTTTGCAGAGTATGTGGCACATGGGAGGCCTTTAACATTTTTTTTATTCTTAATTTTTGTGTGCACATAGTAGGTATATGTATTTACAGGGTACATGAGATGTTTTGATACAGGCATATAATATGAAATAAGTAAATCATGCAGAATGGGGTATCCATCCTGTTAAGCATTTATCCTTTGAGTTACAAACAATCAATTACACTCTTCAATTTTAAAATATATAATTAAGTTATTATTGACTACAGTCAGCTTGTTGTGCTATTAACATTTTTTTAAGTGAGCCAAAGTAATAGAACTATGATTTGCCAATGTCTAGTCACAAAAAGGCCACAGCAACCGAACTTATTCAAGCCTTCAGAGTAGAGCCCATAGCTCTGAATTTCAAAATAGGTTGAAGATATTTGGCTTCATGTTCTACCCCAAAAGAATGAACACACAACTTCTCCAGCACTGATTTCATTTTACCAGTGAACCTGAGTCAGTGCTTAAAATGTCACTCAGTAGTTATTACTTTTGTCAAATATCCTTGCCACTTCTCTGGCATCTACTTATCTACAGTTCAAGGTTAAAAACAAAAAAGCTCCCTAAGAGAATTTCCAAAGTAAGAATTTGTGACTCATTTTTAATTTTCCATTAGTATCAATAAATCTTTCCTTCCCAACTAAAGTGACAAAACCTGTATGGGTCAAAAGACCAGGCTCTAATTCTAAAACAAAATGCCAATCCAATTTCCTGGCAACCTGTTTCAAAATTTCTTCTGGATTTTTTTTTTTTTTTGAAACAGGGTCTTGCTATGGTATCCAGACTACAGTGCAGAGGCTGCTCACAGGCACAATCATAGCTCACTGCAGCCTCAAACTCCTGGACTCAAATGATCCTCCTGCCTCAGCCTCCCCAGTAGCTAGGACTACATGTGCACACCACCATGCCCAGCTCTTTAAGATACTCCATTTTTAAACTGATGATTTTTAACTATTTTAATCAAGACTTTAAGCTCTGTTGAAAATAATAATTCAACACATACACAGTTCCTGCTACCCAACATTGTGTCTATTTTACATTCCAAAGGGACTACTTTTAATAACAGTGATATTTGAAAATATTTAAATCAATACAATTACTTAAAAGAGTACAAAAGAAAAACTTTATTCATTACAGAAACCTGTCACACTCCCCTGAAATCTACATTCAGGACTGTATGATATATTCCCACTTCTTCATCAATCACTCAGCAAACGTGATCATCGTCTCCACGCTTTCTCCCTCATGCTTAGCCTCGCAGGCAGCAGGATTCTCACACCCAAGCCAAGAAAAACTAAAAACAGCAGTTCCATGACACGAGGCAGAGAACTGCAACAAATTCACCTCTTCCTTTCAGCATAACTTTAACTCTCTAGCTGTGAAAATAGACACTGACCTGCTGCTTAGCATCCCCTGTGTAGGGGCCAGCAGGGAACTGGAGGGGTCACTGGCCGACCCCTCCCCAGGTCCAGCCAAGAGATCAACGGCTCCAGGTTACAGCACAAAGACAGACCTGATGCCCCATCCAGGCCTCCTCCCTCTGTTTTAGTAAACACAGGCTTTTTCCATAACCTCACCAAACACAACTCAACATCAAGCCCAGGCCTCCAAGAAAGAAGGCTGAGCAGAAACACTAAGCCTCCCGGAAGGAAATCAAGCCTTCAGAAGAAAGGTTCATTCAAGAGGAAGCCACCGAGGAGAGCCAGCAAGCACAGCCGCTCGCTGAGGAGAGAAGAGAAGGCACTGGCTGAGCTCCTCACACGCCATACCCTATGGCACCAGGCATCGGGGCATCCACACGTGGGTTTCCAACAGCAGGGTCCTGTGGGGCTGCCGATCTCACTAACCCTAAACCACCTCCTGAATGACACGTCCCAGACACAGCTGTGAGCCATGGGCCCCTAAGAAGCAGAGCAAGAAGAGGCAGAGTGGGTGGAACTCCTGAAAAGGGACAGGCACCACCTCCCTTGCACCAGGACAGGACTGCATGAGGGGCTGGAGGATGGAAAACCCTGAAGGGAAGCAGGCGCGCTTATTCTTCATCTTTACGGTGTTCTCACTCTCTAAGGTAAAGGAAGATGGGAAATTTGTTTGGGCAAAAGTTGAAGAGAAGCCTGGCCGCAGGCTTCTGGCCTTTCTGGGGAGCAGGACTCACTCCAGCTGGTGGCTGGGTCCTGGGAAGCAGAGCCATTTAAAACACAAGGGGCTGGGTCCGGCAGCTCACACCTGGAATTCCAGCACTTTGAGAGGCCAAGGTGGGAGGATAGCTTAAGTTCAAGACAAGCCTGAGCAATATAGCAAGATCCTGTCTCTATAAAAAAGAAAATATTAGCCGGATGTGGTGGTGCGCACCTATAGTCCTATCTGCTCAGGAAGCTGAGGCGGGAGGATCTCTTGAGCCCAGGAGTTTGAGGCTGCAGTGAGCTATGATCACACCACTGCACTCCAGCCTGGGCAACAAAGTGAGACCCTGTCTCAAAAACAAATAAATTAAACACAAGGAGGCCCAGAGACAGAGTGAAGAGCCATCTCAGGAAAATCATAATGGGACAGAAAACACACGGAGCAGCTGGTGACATATGAAATAGAAAAGAAAGGCACCCTTCCCAAAACCAACCTTGCTTTATGATGTTTTTTTCAGAAACATTGCAGATGGACCCACCCCATCACCACAGATGCAGTAACCCACCTGATTTTTGCATCAGGGACAGTGTCACATCATAAAATGCACGTGTGCATTCATTCATGCATTCAACCTGTAAATGCCACATCGTTTTTGTTTTGACAATTTTCTAACATCTTTACTAGCTGATGCACCACAGCTCCCTAGCTTCTCTCTCTCTCACAGGACTACATTATTCTGAGTAAATTGAAGCCAAGACAGACTGACCATAGGTGCGTCTTTCCTAGGGCCTCATCGGCCAGCACCAGGAATCTGCACTCACTGGGTCTGGCCTCAGTGAAGAGCTAGCGGTCATGGTAACCCCAGTCAAGAGCAACAGGAGGTCTCCAGCTGTCCCTGAAGTGTCCCAGCTGGGTCTACAAGGCTGCCATGCAGAGTGACCATGCACTGGCCATGGCTCCTACAGGCTGCATAATGCCTCTGTCCCCGCAGCAGCCTAAAGCATGACCGCCTGTGTCCTAACAAAGCTGCAGCAAGCATTTCATCAGCGCCTTTCAGATTCGAGGAACACATACGGAGCACGCGGCATGGGGTGATACCCAGGGACACTAACGCGGCCAGGAGGAGCGAGACAGAGGCGAAAGCCAGGCACCGTCTGGCAGCTGTCTCGCTGTGTTTGAGTGTTCTTCTCCCCAAATAGAAATGAAAGTCTCTTCAAACCAGATGCAACAGTAAAGTGGTCCAATTTTGCTTGCCGGGAACGAACAAGGAATGGCGATGGCCACCCGGCAAGTCCCCTCTTCTGGAGCACAGAGCACCAACTCCGGCCATTGCTGGGGCACAGTTCAAGTGTCCAGTCTCTTCAAAGACCTGAGTCCCACGACAACCCTCTAGGGGATTTCTACCTGGACCAAGGCAACCCAGACCCCGAGCAGCTGCCACACACAGGTCAGGAGCATCCCTCAAAGTCAGCACTGAGGGCCAGGTGTGGTGGCTCACGCCTGTAATCCCAGCACTTTGGGAGGCTGAGGCGGGTGGATCACGAGGTCAAGAGATCGAGACCATCCTGGCTAACACGGTGAAACCCCATCTCTACTAAAAATACAAAAATTAGCTAGGCATGGTGGCATGCACCTGTAGTCCCAGCTCCTCGGGAGGCTGAGGCAGGAGAATCACTTGAACTTGGGAGGCGGAGGTTGAAGTGAGCCGAGATTGTGCCACTGCACTCCAGCCTGGCAAAGCAAGACTCCGTCTTAAAAAAAAAAAAAAAAAAAAAAAAGCACTGAACAGGAGGGTGGGGTGGAAACTGACTTGCTGGGAGCAGTCCCTGTACCAGGGCTGGTTCAGCTTTTCCCACCCTCTCCCTTCAACCAAGATCTGTCAGTCAAAGCAAAAGCAGTCTATGTGCCTAATGTCAACTAACACTCTCTTGGCTCAAGTGCTCAGGCAGCAAAGTTCAGAGGCCCCACCTCCTGCGCGTCAAAAATTCCAGAGCCATCTACAGGAAGACAGGACAAGGCCAACCTCAGGGAACGCTATCGGCATTCAAGGACTTCACGCAACAGGGGCTTATCAGATAGTGAACATGCCAGGCCCTGTGTCAGATGCTGAGGACATCACAAGGGGAAGAACACTGAGAAGAGGCCTTCGACCCGGACTCTTTGGTCTTCATTGGTAGCTAAGATCTCCTTCGGCAGACTCAAAAAGACCTCGTGAACTAAGTACCCAGAAAGTGCGCTGGAAGCCCCCCAGTGGGAATTGGGAAATGGGCCTTCTACAGGCTCAGAGGGTCCCTCTCCACCCTTCGCTTTCACACAGGCACTGAACGCCTAACGTCACGATGCCAAAGAAATGGACGATCCTACAGTCGTCTACATCAGCAGCAAGAAATCATTTTGGTTACAGTCACTTGAGTCTTAGCTAACCCTCATTAGAGTCTCATTATTTAAGTGTCAATGGTATAATAGGACAGTTCTATATTAACTAGAATGGTTTAAAAATCATGACACCCTATTTCCCAGCATTTCTGAATGGCAAAATGTTTACTGCTCACTGGTGTATGTGTTTAGTTGTTGTTTAGGTAAACTGAGCCAATAATAAACATATATTATTGGTCGTTCTCCTCCATTAAACTATGTTTGATCTTTCCTCTGTAAATCCCCCATAGTAGTAGTCACTGTGTACTTTCACACATTTCAAATGCAATATGTACACATGTATGCATATATACACAGATAATATCCAAATACATATGTACACAAACACACTCTGGGTTGTGGTATTTAAATACACACACACATACATATCACATGTATAACTTTTTAATTTCTAAAAACAATACTTAGTCTCATTATTTGAAATACATTTTCTCTTCCCTTCTGTCAGAGATCACTTCTTTAGTGCTGGCTGTGGTCTCCGCTCCTGCAGAGTTCTAGCCTCCCAGTGGAACCTGCCGACGCCCTGAGGAAGGATCCCTCGCAGCACAACCATGCAGGGTCCAGAAAGCAGAAAGCAGCTAACTGCATTCCGCTCTAGCCAAACAGAACTCACCCCATCTGTATCATCTACGCATAAACTTTGCAAATAAAGTCCTGGATCCAGTACTCTGAAATAACTTAATGAAAACACATTCTACTGCTAAAGTACCTTTGCCTTGGCTTCCAGTGCTGTGATACACTTGTACGCGGTAATGCAAATAGGCCTGGAACGAGCATACTTTGCCCTCTCGACCCGGCCAATTCAGACTCTACACATCTGTAGTGAGCCCCAAGGTTCTACATTTCCTTTTCTTTTTTTCCTTTTCTTTTTTTTTTTTTAAGAGACAGAGTCACCCAGGCTAGATTACAGTGAAGCCATCACAGCTCATAGCAGGCTCTGCTTCCTGGGTGCAAGTGATCCTCCCACCTCAGCCTCCCATGCAGCTGTGATCACAGGTAGGCACGCCACCAGGCCCAGCTAATTTTTAAAATTTTTGTACAATCAGGATCTTGCTGTGTTGCCCAGCCTGGTCTCAAACTCCTGGGATCAAGAGATCATCCCACCTTGGCCTCTCAAAGTGCTAAGATGTCAGATGTGAGCCACCATGCCCAGCCTCCACATTTCTAGCAAGCCCCCAGGAGACACCAGCACAGCGGTCCAGTGACACGGCTCTAGACAGCCCTGGTGTGTTTGCAGATCAAGGTAGCCTGCCTTGACTCCTCTACAAATACTTGTTCAAATCCACAGCAGCAAGAGCCTGCTGTGAAGGCAGCTATTCGAGTGATACCCATAAGCATGTTAACATGGATGTCAGGTGACGGACAGGGCCACATGGGAGGATGGAGGACAGAACATCCAAGGGGATACCAGGAGGAAGGGGTCGAAGAAGGCTGTGAGGACACTGAGTTTGAGAATGAGACCATGCCTGCTGCAGAAACCTATGAACCATTCAAGATGAAAAGAACACATCTCTCTGGAAGGAACTCCCACACTGCCGACTCAGACTGACTCCAAGTGTGAGCACATGACGTCGGACAGCTCGCTAGGGCCCCAGCAGGCTGGGAAACAGGCACGGATGCTACCAGCAGAAGCCACCACGCAAATGGGCTTCCCCTCAGGAAAAAAAAAAAAAGATCATCTACCCCGGTTCATTTGAAAAGACACAGATGCTCCAAATATTCCCACATTAACGGATCATTTTAATTGAAAATAGAGACATGCTTCTACTACCTCATCAGAGCACTAGTTCAGAGCACAATATCTGATTGTAAAGATTGTCACTGTGTGTAAGCCAGCTGCTTACATTTCATTGAGCCAGTGTTTTAAAAAATTACCAAGTTCCTCTTCATTTTACACCATTCTTAGAATATTTCCCAGTATTTTCTCTATGAGACCACTGAAAAATAACCATTGGCATTGAAATCTTGCTCAGCTTGGGAGCCACTATTAACTAGTTAAAGTTTGGACATGCTGCTCTACAAGCTACTAAATTAATAAGGGTAAAAATAAACTTCCAGAAAAGGCAAACCCTACATTAGTTCAGCCCTCTCGCATTCAAAGACATGCAGCCTTTCCTCATTCTTGTGGGTTTCATAAACTAAGAAGCACAGAACACTGTAAACTGATTTACTGGTTTCCATACATGCTGCCAAATTTCCACTTCTGCAAAACCAATTTCAATCAAACAAAAACCCTAAAGTTAATCTTCTAGTTCCTCACATGGTCCAATTTATTCAGAATGCAGGGTAAAAAGTTGGAAGACAAGAAATCAATTGTTGGCGAATAATGTCAATGTTAATTTACTGTCTTCATTTTTTAAATCACTACTTTGTCTCAGGATCATTTCCTCCTCCAAGTTCTGGAAAGTCTTTAAAAAGTGGACACTGCCAAACAATGGCCTTGTTATAAGCCAAAGTTTAGTTATTTTAAGGCATTTACTTTACTGCCTTTTAGCTGAAGTTCTCATGAAAATCTTTCCAAGCCACTAACTTTGTTAAGAATTTTTACAGGTTTACAATATAATACTGCATAGCTTCTAAACATTTCAGGGTTTTACTCTGCCCATTACTTTAGCCTTTAAGAAAGCAGCGAAGTCTGGAGTTAACAACTTAGGTAAGAGAAAGGGACGCCAAGAGGGGAAACGCTGGCAGTGACTTAACAAGGCTGCATTCCAAGGGAACAGCTAAAGGGCAGCCTGCGGTGTGAGGCTCCTTGTAAGAGGTAGCAGAGGCAGTCTGAAGGCACAGCATTTTGCATGTGCTGACTCCCTAAGAGATCTCCCTTCCTCTGCCTTCAGTAGCATGCTCAGATGTGCATATAAAGACCAAGAAGCCCCATATTTTCAGATGCTCAGATGAAACCATCTCCCACTAGGCCAGAATCCCAACAGGGGAGGGAAGCAGGGAGAAGAGTCAAGCCGAGGGGGGAGGAGGGTAAAGGAGGAACTGAGACTAAGGAAAACGGATAGAGAGTCCAGGACAGACTGGCAGGGGAGGCGGAGTGGGCACCATCTGCAGTCCATCGACAGGAACAAAATATTCTGCCCTGGGACAGGAAAACAAAGGAAATCAGTAGAAAACTATAGTCTTAAACTTAAGAGGAAAATATCTCTCCAGGCACATCTTGGAAAGTACAAGAGTTTCAAAAGACTAAAAAGAATGTGTCAAGCCAGGTGCACTGGGGGTAGTAGTTGTCGTCCCAGCTACTACAGAGGGGAGGTGGGAGGATCGCTTGAAGTGAGGAGTTCAAGTCTAGCCTGGGCAACATAGTGAAGCCTCATCTCTAAAAAATTGTTTTAAAAGAAAAAGAAACAATGCATTGGTCTGCCCATGTTACCTTAAGTCAAAGCTCAGGAAGGACAGTGGGTGACTCACAGTCTGTGCCAGTTCTCATGGCATGCAAGCTGTCACCAGGGGCCCCAGGAAAGCTGCTGGACAATCCTTACATGTGCGTGATTTCCAATCAGCCAGCCAGAATGCGGGGCCCCAGCCTCTGGCTGAAACCTTCCAGAAAAGCAAAAGATGAGAATGAACAAATGAAGTAGCTGGGTTACACACGACGTCTGAAGTGAGGCTTGCTCATCTCAGTTAGACAGCAGCAGGAGCTGGATCTGAGCGAAAACTGACGGCTGATCTCATACATGCAAACACCAAACACTGCAGAGGTTGTTTACAGAAAGTGAATTAGCATTCACAGGCTATGCCCCTGGGCAGCTTCACTATCCTGATCAAACTGTCCCCGTTCTTCTCAAATTCCACCACCACATGTGACAGGTGGAACGGGTGATGCTGGTTTTAAAATAAATGAGATAGACCACTCTTCCAGTAACTGCTAAGGCTGCAGGCCTGTGTGCACACACTAAAAACAATACAACACAGACACACACACGCGTGAAACTGACCAGTGATCAGAAGTAGAGTTTCCAGACGTTCCAAACATTACTTTGATAATTTTTAAGTGCACAGCAAAAAAAAAGTGTATCACTCTACATCTACATAATTACATACCAAAAAATGTTTCTATTAGAATTATTTGGCCCTTACAAGTGAAAGTACATTTTGCAAAGATAGGTGTCACTGAACTGCTAAAGCAATGTTAGCAGTCGCATTCATAATTCACAAGTGCAGTCTGAGAATATTTTCACAAACCTCTCCCTTGCCACCATTACCCTGTTGATTCTAACCAAGACCTAGGCGTGAACTCAGAAAATGCTGTTCTTTCACAAAGAGATTCCACATGAAAGGAGATCTAGCCTTCAGTCGACGTAAAAGATTTTCTACCTCACTGGAACATAAAATTGTAACTCTTAGTATTACTCTTACTCAGAATTCTGTTCATTTCAACTCTCTTCCTAGTCAGTGACTTGCCACCTCTGAGGCTGTGACTGAAACTGTAACTTACACTCGGAAGGCAGCTCCAAGGGTAGTGTGGGGACAGGACTCCAGGGATCTGCCCACGGGTCTGGCCAGGACTGCGGTGCTGGGCTTGCTTCAGAGCAGTTCCCTCTCCTCCACGGAGAAGCCATCGCCAGGCAGCGCCTGAGCGTGGAGGCCCTGCGGCAGCCTGCCTTCTGCCTAAGACGGTCACTATGCCAATTCAAAACAAAACAAAACATAACTGATTCCCAGCTGTGCCCAGTCCAAGCCCAAATCTGGAGAAGGCAGCCACCAGAGACCCTCGGAATCCTCCCGCCTCTGGACACCTGAGCCCCATGCCAGAAAGGAAAGGAAAGCCAAGCCCAGGGTTGGGTGCCTTCCTCAGCGGGCTGTGTCTGTTGTCCCCGAGACTGCTCCTGCCCACATCTGGCCACGGACCCAGTGCGAGGTACCAGGAGTTGTGCAGGAGGAATGAAGCCACGCCCTGCCCTCGAGGAGCTCCCAGGCTAGCTGTGAATGCAGGGCTGGAGGGCAGAGGGCTTATGCGGACTCTGTAGCAAAATGATCTTCTGTGTTCCTGGGTCCACAGGAAGAAGTCGGGGGAGCCCTAAAAACAAGCCCCGAAAAAGCCTTTGTTTTTAAGGTCTGGGCGAGTGCTACTCACTGTCCAAACTACAGAACAACCGTGTCAAGGAGCCCGCCATTCTTGCTAAAACACACGTTCACTGCCAGGCATCATCTAAGCTTCTGAGTCAGAATCTCTTGGGGTGGAGTCCAGGAATCCGTATTTTTAACAAGCTCCCCAGATAATGCTTAAACATATCGATGCTTAAAACCAGAGCTCTAAACCTAGATCGAGCAGATCCACGTGGGGGTGAGGAGGAGGCTGAGTGCTCAGGGGTGGGAGGAGAAGAGGGACCCACCCAGGGGAGGGCAAAGACCTCAGGAGTAGTGAGGAGGGGGCTGAGGAAGACCCCTGGAGGCCTGAGCTGTGTGCAGCAGAGTGGAGTCCCAGGGCCACCCCAACAGGAGATGACTTCAGCAGACCTTGAAGAAGATCTCAGCACCAGGCAAGCAGGACCCATGGCCAACGAAGCCCTGGGGAGTGGGGCCAGGTGTGACTGAGTGACAAGTCCTCGGAAACGTGCCTGGGGAGGACAGTCCCCAGATGACTGATATCAGCCACCCCATCTTTCTCAGTGAGTCAGGGATCAAAGGAGATTTATTTCTCAAGAAAAATGAAGAGATGTGGCACGCCTTGCTCCTGGGTGCATGGAGCTATTCATCCCTGTCACACGTTTTGACAAATTGCGATGAGCCCAGAAAAGGGCTCACCTGGGCAGCTGACATTTGTGCTGCAGGACAGAGAAAGCCATGCTCCAGGCAGCACAGTGGGAAGGGGGAGGGCTTCGAGTGTCCCCGGAGGAACTGAGTGAAATGGGGGCTGGAGACAGAGACCCCGTCCAGGCCACACAGGTAAGTTTGGCGTTGACCTTCAAAGCTACGCAGTGACAGGTCAGCCCTGCCACTAGGTGGTAAGGCGGTTCTCAGAACGAGGTCCTAGACCAGGAGTTTGGAAGGCGCAGGGAAGGATATGAGGAGGGGAGAGACGGCAGAGGCTGGAGGCAGGGCAGTCTGTTCAGAGGCTGTTGCAAAAGTCCAGGCAAGAAATGTTGAGAATTGAAGGCAGTGACCACAGCGGGAGGAAAGGAGCCATGTGGAAAACACTTAGAAGGTAGAATCACAGGCCTTGGCGACACAGTGGATGGATCAGGGAGCCAGGAGGGGGTCAGAACAGCACCAGGTTCTGGCTTGGGCAACTCAGCTTTAACTCAGGTAAAAGAAAAGAGAGAGCTCTTATATAATTTTACAGATCAATTTGCCAACGTCTTCCTCAACCTTGAAATACTGGAGTCTGTTTATAGGCCAGTTGCGAATCCTCCAGGTTCGGGAAGACTGTACTTGAAACGCTTTTATGAAACAGCACAGTTGTGAAATGCACCCATATGCTTTCTCCAGACACATTCTTCAACTACTCTTTTCAGCAATGCATCTCAGAAAGCTTCATCAACAAAATCAATCCAGATTCAGAATCCTGGAAGAAGGGAGAGGCTACGCAGAATCACCTCACACAGTCCAAAGAACAGCCATTTGCAGAGAAAAGCACAAAACCGTCTTCAACCTGCATGGCAGTCCCACATGGGAAGGAAGCACAGGACAACATCTACTCCGAAAAACAGGCTAGCGGCTTCCCTGCCAAGAATGCCATCACCTAAGCAATCGGGCTCAGAATATCTACACAGAGAAGTCAACTCCCCATTAGCTAAACTCATAAAGGGACACTGTGGAATTGAATGATGGTGAATACTTCAGAAACCATTCGTTCCTGGCTTTCTAAGCATTTTCCTGCACACTGTTGAACATTGGCCAAGCAACTGTCTAACGGTCTGCAGACACCCTTTGGAAAGAGCAGCAAGGCCTGCTCTGAGGATAACTCGGGGGCGGGGCTGGGAAGCCCTCCAGGTCTGCAGCCCCAGCTTCACTGGCCGTTGACGTAAAGCAGCCGCCTGGCAGGGCCACCTCCTCAAAGGACCCATCCTAGCCACTCAGGTCCATCCCGCAACCAGCCCCCACTCGCTCTTTCAAACGGTACCCACCCACCCACTCAACCAACTGCTCAACTCTGGGCCTGGAAAGGGACAGGTGGGGCCCAATCCACCAGAGGGGACAGGGCCGGGTCGTGTCCTGCCCTGCTCCATCATAGCCCCTCCCATGCCCCCAACAGACTTGCCCACCCCAGGGTTATATTAGTTTCATCCAAAATTCTTTTTTTTTTCTTTAATTAAATGGTACTTGAGGAACATAGAAAGTTTCCTCCAATATTCTAAAGTCATGTTGACTGTATGATTGTACTTTATGAAATGAAATAAGATTATGAATCCAGGAGAAGCTGAAGTTCAGTTACCACCCAATCATGACCTTTAGAGGGACAGCAATGCAGTCAGGTGGTCCACAGTCCAAGCTCGACTCCCTCACTTTAACCATAACATACACTTAAAATCAGCCAGCTGTGTCTCAAGCTCGGAACATGATTGATTCTTATTCTTTCCATCTTTATAAGAACCCATGAGGTGGGTAATACGATTACCAACATCTTCCTTTTATCGATGGAGAAATTCGGGCACAGGAGGGTTGAGTGAAGCATCCAAGGTCACATGGCTGCCAATGGGCAGAGCTGGGACTCGAACCCAGGCCAGCTGGCCCAGATAAGGTGCCAGGTGCCCCTCGACTCCCCTGCCTCTCTCCCAAGCAAGCTCCTGCCTGCCTCACTGCACAGCTCTGTGTGTTAGCTGCAATCCCGTGCCCTCACTGTCCTCACCAGGCTGCCCTGAGGATCCCTGAGATGGCAATGGGAAGACTGGCACACAGGACTCAGCCCCACACATAGAGTCGCACAGGATGCAGTCTCCACACACAGAGCCACAGGGGACTCAGTTTCCACACACAGAGCCGCATGGGACTCAGCCTCAGCCCCCACACACAGAGCCGCATGGGATTCGGTTTCCACGCAGAGCCGCACGGGACTCAGCCCCCACGCACAGAGCCACACGGGACTCAGTTTCCACGCACGGAGCCACAAGGGACTCAGCCCCCACGCACACAGAGCCACACGGGACTCAGCCCCCACGCACAGAGCCGCACAGGACTCAGTTTCCACGCAAACAGAGCAGCGTGGGACTCGGCCCCCACGCACACAGAGCCGCACGGGACTCGGCCCCCACGCACACAGAGCCGCACGGGACTCAGCCCCCACGCACGGAGCCGCACGGGACTCAACCCCCACAAACAGAGCCGCACGGGACTCAGCCCCCACGCACAGGGCCGCACGGGACTCAGCCCCCACGCACAGGGCCGCACGGGACTCAGCCCCCACGCACAGGGCCGCACGGGACTCAGCCCCAACGCACGGAGCCGCACGGGACTCAGCCCCAACGCACGGAGCCGCACGGGACTCAGTTTCCACGCACAGAGCCGCACGGGACTCAGCCCCCACGCACAGGGCCGCACGGGACTCAGCCCCAACGCACGGAGCCGCACGGGACTCAGTTTCCACACACAGGGCCGCACGGGACTCAGTTTCCACGCACAGGGCCGCACGGGACTCAGCCCCAACGCACGGAGCCGCACGGGACTCAGTTTCCACGCACAGGGCCGCACGGGACTCAGCCCCAACGCACGGAGCCGCACGGGACTCAGTTTCCACGCACAGAGCCGCACGGGACTCAGTTTCCACGCACAGGGCCGCACGGGACTCAGTTTCCACGCACAGGGCCGCACGGGACTCAGCCCCCACGCACAGAGCCGCACGGGACTCAGTTTCCACGCACAGGGCCACACGGGACTCAGCCCCCACGCACAGAGCCACACGGGACTCAGTTTCCACGCACAGGGCCGCACGGGACTCAGCCCCCACGCACAGAGCCGCACGGGACTCAGTTTCCACACACACAGAGCCACACGGGACTCAGTTTCCACGCACAGGGCCACACGGGACTCAGTTTCCACACACACAGAGCCACACAGGACTCATCCCCCAGGCACACAGAGCCACACGGGACTCAGTTTCCATGCACAGGGCCACACGGGACTCAGCCCCCACGCACAGAGCCGCACGGGACTCAGTTTCCACGCACAGAGCTGCACGGGACTCAGTTTCCACACACAGAGCCACACGGGACTCAGTTTCCACGCACAGAGCCGCACGGGACTCAGTTTCCATGCACAGAGCCACACGGGACTCAGCCCCCACGCACAGAGCCCCACGGGACTCAGTTTCCACACACAGAGCCACACGGGACTCATTTTCTACACACAGAGCCGCACATGTGCCCTGCTCTGCACAGCTCCACCCCCATCTCCTCTGTTCCTCTTTGCTCTCTCAAGCTCTGGTGGCACTCGCAGTCCTGCCTCTCCCCCGCCCCCACCACCAAGTCGCCCTTCCTCCTTAGACACAGCACAGGTACTGCATACAGGTGGCATGCTGCCTGCAGCCGGGTAAGCCATAACTCTTGGGCAGTCTTCAATATAGATGAAGTCTTTACAAATCCTGAAGCTCCTCCCTGAAATTCAAAAGTAGGATAGAAAGACTGCACTTTCTAATGACAACCTCTACGTTTCTAACCGCACGGTTGATGGAACGAGTGCGCTTATCACTCACTCTGCTGACCTGGCCTCTAGGGTACGGCTGAGGTTAGGGATACAACCCCCAAAGGTTCTGAAGGCCTGAGGCTGGAAACCTAAAACCAACAGCAAGGATTCTCAGCTCACAACTTGAACTAAACTGGGATTTCTGTAAACATTTGCTGAAATCGCTCTGTCCCAGGCAGGCACTGTGCTGGGCATTTTCTCAAAGTTCCCTTTCTACAAATGAAGAGGCTCAGAGTGCTCTGAAAACTGTTCACCAGGAACCAGAAATCAAGTCCTTGGCTAAGAAACCACATTCTTTCTTGTAAACAAGATGAAGAAAATCTATCATCTAGCAAGTAGAACAGCAAGAACCCGCTGGTCTATTTTTCCACCAGTAAATGGAATGTTAGGGGCAGAGTTCTGCTATTCCCTGGAGCCAGGACTAATGTGCCCCAGCACCTCACCGTTCCCAATGCCCTCATCAGTTCCTCACGCCTGTTGTGCTAAGACACAGTCCATCGTAGCTGAGCTCTGAAAGCCCACAGCACCATCACCTAGGAGAGGAATGAGGGGGCTGTGAACGCATTAGAGGAGGGATGGGGAAAGCAAGCTGGGCTGCCTGACCTGGAAAAGAGGGAACCAGGTGGGGCACCGGCAGTGTCTTCAGACACATTAGTCCCAACAAATGGAAGAAAAGTGAGCCCTGCTCTGAATCCCAGCCCAGGGAGGCCATAGGGAGGCACATTCAACTGCATCCAGTTGGTTTCTAGGTGCCATGGCATCCACAAAATGGGCTGCATTCAGCAGAGATGAGCTCCCTGCCCTTAGAGCTGCCACACCATGGTAGTCACCGGAAGGAACAGTGGGTATTCAAGGATGGACCTGCCATAGATGTCTATGCGAGAGAAGATAAAAAAATACAAGGACAGTCCTGGAAAGACAGACATCTGTAAGGAGGGAGGGAGAGGGTGGCAGAAAGAATAGCAACAATAAATAATAAAGCAACAGGAAAAAGGAAATAGTCGGCTGAGTCAGAGAAATGCTACACTCAAGAATCCTGCCACCTCCCACTAATTGTCACATGCCCCAGTCACCCTGAACGGGAGCAAATTTTGCCAAGTTCACATAAAACCAATACTACTCAGCTATTTGTCAAAACGGATTAGAGAAAGATTTGCAAAGCACCCTAATACATTTAAGGCATTTATGACAGTACACAAAGGAAAATCTTCCGCAGCCAGATTTCTGAGACAAAGCCAGATTTCCAGACCCTGACAGGGCCGCCAAAAGGCCAGGGAAGGCTGTTCCACAGACACCAGCCAGCAGTGAGTGGAAGGGAACAGGCTCTATGCAGGGTCCCAAGAAGGCTCACAGCAGAACAGGGCGCATTGCTCACACCTTGGCAAGTGGGCACTCAGCTGCCCCTGGGCATAAGGAGGTCAAGGCAATGACCTCCAATAGAAGTTACAGTGTGCTCTCAGGAGATTATCCAAATGTCACTTAGAGTCTTCTCTATTTAAGGGGAAGTAACTGACCTGAACTTAGCACCTACTATCCTACAAAATCTACCTGCTATATTCCACCCAATGCCTCCCAAGAAATCCGAGAGGTCCTGTTACATGCATCTTAAAGACAGGGAACCGAGGCTGGACAGACCACACAGCCCAAGGTCAGTTACAGGAGCAGTGGTGCAAGAAGCGGCTTCTCCAAACCACACGTTCCCCTCCTGGGGCCTCCATTGGGCCAAGAGACACGAAGGCTGGTCTTGCCCTGCGCACCCAGTGGGGCTCAGTCATTACAGGTACAGCCAAGCAAAGGAAAACAGGTGATGGGAACACTTCCTTTCTCAAAGCAGCCGTGGGTGGCTGTAAAGGCAAATTATCCCATGTAAGTGATGCCCCTTGAGTTTGTGAGCAGCACAAATGGAGGGAGGGAGGGAGGGAGGGATGGATTATAGGGGAGAATCAGAAAACAGGAGAAAGAAACAAGTGGAAGAAAATGAACCAAAACCACATACCAATGTATGCTTTACATACATATATATGAGCATTTGAAGGCATGTGGTTTCTTTCACTAAGTACTTCTCTAAGAGCTACCGACGTGGGATGTTTTAGCACTAAAACTCATCTTACTCAAAAATCAATCAGAAATTAGGAGGGCTGGGTTCAGCAGCTCACGCCTATAATCCCAGCACTTTCAGAGGCTGAGGCAAGAGAATCATTTCAGCCCAGGAGTTTGAGACCAGCCTGGACAACACAGTGAGACCCTGTCTTTACCAAAAAATAAAAAAATTAGCCAGGCATGGTGGTGTGTGTCTGTAGTCCCAGTGACTCAGGAGACTAAGGCGGGAGGATACACTTGTGGAGTATGAGGCTGCAGTGAGCTATGATCACGCTACTGCACTCCAGCCTGGGCAATAGAGCAGGAAGGAGGGAGAGGAGGAGAGGGGAGGGGAGAGGAGGACGAAGGAAGGAAGGAATCCACAAACTATGCAAATTCCCCTTTCACTTAGGAAGTCTTATGAACTTGCACAAGTGCTCTGCGGGAATGGCAGCAGCCAGAAATAGCATTTGTTTCAGGAATACTCAGTCATCCCGAATGGAGCACAACAAGATCATTGACCTAAATACTCAATGAACCCACCTAGAGACCTGCTGTCCAGCATCATGCTGGTCGGAAGTTGTACACAGCAGCAGCACTTGGCCATTCTGGATTAAAATCATGACCTGCTTTTAGATGGTGCTTCTGGGAGGCACCTTTTCACAGAGGTAAAAGGCTAGTTTTTCTGGTGTAATCCTTCCCCTGCCCCATTTGAACATTATTGGTAATCTAGCTAAAGAAAGAGGAAATATGTATCATGAAAGGCTAAACTTCATACTAAGCCAGGAAGAAACATCATTGACCTAAATACTGAATTAATGAACAAGAAATTTATCAATTGGCAAATATCAATAAGGTACAATCAGATCATAAAACCTTTTATGGGACCCAGTAAAAAGGAAGGAAGGACAATTCTGAAAAAGAATGTAATCTTTGGTTCACACTCAATAGATTATTCCATCCCTGAGTTTCCCTCTTGTCATCTCTAAACATTTGCTCAAAGAAATCTGAATTTTGAAATCATAAAAGCAAAAATAAAATAAATAGCCAATTCCATGACCATAAAATATTCAAATAGAGGCATCTCATTTCAAGTGTTTTCACCATCGTCCCTAGTGGCCATTCATTAGCAGATTCCATGTTAATGCTAACAAAAGAAAAAAAAAAAGGATTTCGTAGAATTAACTCATTAAGACAAACTAGGAGCTTCAAAAAGAAAACCCTAACATTCTCTGTTAAGCAAAATACTACGGAAGCATGGAAGAAAAGTAAGCGTACCTACTGAAGGTGTCTGATTATTTAGAATTTAGGAATTTTCAACTGTCTTGGTTGGGAAAAAATGGATTTTGGACAGTGAAATTTCTTTTCTGAATACTAAGTAAATAAATGAAAAACAAAAAGAAATGGAACCAGATATTGGAGATCTAACATGTTTTCAACCACTATCTGGCCATTGTATGCTTTTTTCTTTCTTTCTTTCTTTTAAGATAGGGTTTTGCTCTGTTGCCCAGGCTGAAGTGCAGTGGTATGATCACAGCCTCCAATTCCTCGGCTCAAGCGATCCTTCTGCCTCAGCCTGGCATTACAGGCCTAAGCCACTGCACCCAGCCCCATTGTATCCTTTTCTCATCTTTACCATTATCCATCTATCCAAACTACCACTACTGTTAAAGCAGGTTTCTCAACCTGGGCACGACAGACACATTGGGTTGGACAAACCCTTGTGATGAGGCTGTCCCGTGGACTGTGGGCAGTCTAACAGCATCCCTGGTCTCTCCCCACTAGATGCTAGGAGCACCTCCCACCTCCCACTTGTGACAACCAAAAATGTCTCCAGACATTGTCAAATGGCCTCTGGGGAACAAAGTCACCCCCAGGTGAGAGCCACTGCTATAAAGCATCCAGACCTATAAAATCATCCCCTATATGATCACTCAGTGTCTCACATCCAGGCTGCAGGCCGGACTCTGAAGCCCAGGCTGCCACCCCACACACGCCTGCCCATGAGCACAGCATGGATGGGGCAGGGCAGTGGGTCAGGGAAACCCATCCCTGCTCATGGAAAAGCAACCGCATGTCCACGTCCTACCAGGGATGAGCCAAAAGTGTCATCCCCAAGTCTCACAAACATCATCATTACAGAACGAAAGGACTGGCACTGAATTCTGCTCTGTCCCAGCCATCAAAAGAATGGCGAAATCTCACACTCAGGCCTTGACACTGGGCTTCTGAAGATCATTAAAAGGAAGAACATTTTCAAAGCAGAGGTTTCCACAGAAACCAGGTCATTTTTATTCTCCACGATTCAATTCACCAGCTTAAAAACCAGACCCACGGCACATGGGTTCAGGCCTTTCTGAGCCAGGGCCGCGAGGCTGTGCACGTCTGTCCCGCCGGACCCTCCAGCGCGGCATGACTCCATGGCAGAAACGTTTTAACTGGAAATGATTTGTGACAGCTCATAAACAGCTCTGAATACAAACCATTGTCAAAGGAAGTATTAACAAATTTGCACTTCTCAAGTTCCCACATAGGCAATTTTCTCATCACTCTGACAAGAGAAATGTTTAAGGAAAAGAAAACAGACAGTTCTGAGTTCTTTGGGCAATATTTTCCAAGTAAGTGCACCAAATTCCGCCAAATGGCAACTTCGTTCCAACAACACAGGTTTCCTTCCCCGGCACACACACCTGCCACACTGGGCACTGACGTGCCTGGGCTCCCTCCATTCACCTAACCCCTGCTTTTGACGCCTTCCTTAGGAAAGAGAGGCTCTCTCTTCCATGCCAGCACACACACCAGCTTACCAGGGCTCTCGTTTTCAAAGGGCTCTCTATGGAAACATCCATGGGGTGCCAGATTGCTGGATGCTAGTGGGGTCGATCTGTAACCTGACCCAAGTACTCAGCACTGTTCACACCAGTCCTACACACCTGCTGGCATTCCTGGGATTTAAACCCAGCTGCCCTAATACAATACTGATCTCGAAGCAAGAAGTCCTCAGAATGTTTTAAAACTGTCCTAACTCAGTATTTCCCAAACTTTAAGGTGCACAAGAATCCCCTTGGATCTTGTTAAAAGGCAGATTTTGATGGGGGGATGGGGTCCAAGGCTGAGGCTGAGACCACATTCCTAACCTGTGCCCATGCAGCTGATCTGTGACCCCAGGAGGGTGACTCAGAGACAGAGCCAAGAAAGGGACCCTATTTTAAAAGAAGAGCCATTTCTACTCCCAACATGGAGAGGACTCACCTCAAATGGCAGGAGGATGCTTTTAGATTCACCCAAGCCTCCCCCTACATCCAGGGCAGTTTGTGATCTGAGTCCTGCCAACATATATAATCACTGTCTCATTTTCCCTAGAATAATCAGGCAGCAAAACCTTGTGCACACACAGCACCTGTTCTCCCAGGGAATCAAAGTGCTTTACATCACGTCTTTCTTGGAAAGAAACTTAGTTTGATTTCTGGACAACAATTAACACATAATATCCTAAATAAGTGATACATCATTTTCTAAGAGGGTAGCAAGCACGAAAGTTAGGCAGAAACAAGATCATGATGAACAAGAGTGATAAAAGTCAGGCCAAAATAACACCAATGCTGATGACAAATTGTCTCCTCACAATAAAAGCAATGATCAAAGCCATCCCTTCCCCAGCCATCCTCATCCTGATAAAATGGAATTCCAGTGCTCAGCAGAAATTCAGACGCACCACATCTCCCTCGGCCAGCTCTCCACCTCAGTGCATCCTCTGGTTCCTCCTCCACTCCAAGCACCCCACAGCCCTGGCCTGGGGAGCCGTCCCTAGGGCCTCAACGCTGCAACAGCCCCTATGGCACCCTGCCTCTCCCTTGGGCCTCCACCGTGATCTATTCCCCAGAGACCCTGACCCTCTGGAAACCTACACCCAGACACTGCTCTGCTCCAAACCTGGAAGGGCTCCCATCCCACCTGGACCCTGGGCCCTATGGGAAATCACACATACCCACACATATGTTCACACATGCCTGTATGTGCACATGCATGCACATGTGCCCTCTGCACCCCCTGCTCCTCTCCAGCCATGTGGCCTTGACCACTCCAGGCAACCGCTCACCCACAGCCTTTGCACAGAGTTGCCTCAGCCTAGAATCTTCCCCAGTACCCATATGGTCACTCCCTGCTCTAATGCTACCTTCTCGGACCCCAGTACATCAAACCCCACTCTTTGTTGAGAGTGGAGCCTTTCCATTGTCTGCCTCTGCCTCTCCCAGCACAGACCCTAGGCCAGGAGGAGCTCCCACTGTGTATCCAACAGCACCTGCTGGGTGTGGAGCATCCCGGGGCTGGGGGGGGCGGGCATCTGTCTGCAGCCCCTGTGCCCAGCACACAGCAGGGCTCTGGAAGTATCTGCTGAACCCAGACACCCTGGCTGTGTCTCTGCCCCTTAGTCTCGAGCCCTCACGGGTTCAATCATTTGTTCATATTTCATATTTTCTACTATCATTTCATCTGATGATTACTGTTTTAGTCTTGCTGCCCTATTAAACAAGAAGAATTGGGTTTTTCTTTTATTTAACTTTTTTTGAGACAGGGTCCCGTTCTGTTGCCCAGGCTGGGGTGTAGTGGAACCATCTCAGCTCACTGCCACCTCTGCCTCCTGGGCTCAAGCGATTCTCATGCCTCACGCTCCTAAGTTGCTGGGACCACAGGCAAGTGCCACTACGCCCAGCTAATTTTGGGGGCTTTTGTAAAGACAACAGTTTCCCTACGTTTCCCAGTCTAGTCTCAAACTCTTGGGCTCAAATGATCCTCCTGCCTCAGCCTCCCAAAGCTCTGGGATGACAGGTGTGGGCCACCACGCCCAGTATGTTCTTTTACATGTTTAATTTGTTGAACACAGGTGGACATTTTTGTTTCTTGAGGCTCACTGTAGGTCAGAGTAAGGACTCGGCCAATTCCGTAACCACCATGAATGGAAAGATGCCGCTGGACTTCCTGGCAGAAGCATGGAGGGTCGCTGGCACTCTAGGTCCAGCTATGCCCATGGTCAGCTGAGCGACCTTGAAGAGGCGGGATTCTCTCTGTCCGCGCCAGCCCTGCTCAGCTGGGCCAGGGAAACTCCTCCAACCCCCAAACTGCCCAGTCTCCAGACCGTGGCCCAGTGCAAACAGACCCTGTCACTGCTGCTGAAAACACTCCAATGGCTCCCCAAGGCCTATAAGATCCCACTCAGCCTCAGAAAAGAAAACCCTGAGTCCACCTGGGGCCCCTCACTCCTCACCCCATCAGCTCTGGACCCGAAAAGCTCCCTGCCTCCCCTGGGCCTCGGGCTGTGCCCTCCACCCAGACAGGCTCTTCTGCCTTCACGGCGCGACACCGCCCGTCCGTGTTCAGCCCTCAGCTCCATCACCTGCCTCCAGAAATCCCTGGGCTTCCCCTCAGTGGAATCTCGCCGGGGCTTATGCTTCTCTGCCAGCACTCTCCTCCCCTCCAGCACTATCTCCCAGCAGCAGGTCTGCATTGACTCATCTGAGTCCTGGATTCCTGGGATGCCCCGTATCGCAGCAAGCCCCCAAGCACAGGGCCTTCTGCGGCCTCGGCTCTAGGGCTGGGCACACACTGGGCACTCAGTGAGTACCAGCCTGGAGGGCAGGTGAGCAGGCGAGGGAGGCGCCACCATCCTGCCATGAGATTTGTTATCAAAAACTCACCCGGCAGCTTCCTGTTCAGTGACATCTGAGGGCCAAAGGGTGAATACAACCTGTGCCAGAGATGCTCCGATACCCAGAACCTAAGCTTAATTCTAATGAAAAGAAATAAAACATGGCAGGTTCTGATCATTGTGCCTTTAAGAGAATATCAAAAAAAATTATTCCGAATTCCACTCTCTTTTCTTTGAATGCATTCCTTCCTCCCCCCACTTCATTTGCAGAACTCGAAGGGTAACACATACTGTACCTCCCACTAGAAATCAACCCCATTAGCACCATGTGTCATAATCAATCCGAAAAGGGGCCCTGCCCACAAGTACTAAATCAGCCTGAGAGCTCTTGGCCATCCTAACACTGCTCATTTACCCTGCAGGCTTTGGAGTTCCTTCAAGCGGAGGTGTGGAAAAGGGAAAAAGACTTTTAAAATATTACTCTTCCTAGATGTATATCATGCTTCTTAAAAAAGAGTGAGCAACACCCTTCAGTCAACAGCCTGAGCACATTCATGCTGAGAGCAGTGGCGCCCAGCTTCCCCACCACAGCCGATCACAGCAAGGCTCCGGGCGAGGGTCCTGGTCTCCAGCCTCACACCCCCCACCCCACGTCTGACACTCCTCCTCACCTCCCACCTTCTCCTGTCACCTTCTCGGGTCCTGACAGCACACCCAGGCTGAAAATGCCCACCACCACCACCACCAGGCTCCTCGGAGACTGGGGCCCAGGCAATGTGATCACACATTTGTATCTGCAGAATATCACTGGCACTTGGGAGCAGGAGCAGTTACAGGGTGCCCAGAGTGAAGCAGGCCTGCACCCTGGACCCCCAGTGCCCCGGTTTCCATGCAAGCACTCACCTGTCTCATGCCATCTGCTCACAGAAGCCTCGTGGTACAGCTAGTGGTCTGGAAAACCAGCAAAACAACAAGACACAAAGAGAAGCAAAGCCTAACGAGACTACAAGGACACTATTCTAGGAACAGCGCAACACTGCTCCGCAGAAGGGCTCAGAGCCAGACATCCCTGCGCAGAAACAGCTGTGGATGTGGAGGGCCGACGGCAAGTGAGGCTGGTTCTGCATGTCACATGAAATGAGGCCTTGACCTCACAGAAGCAAAGAGCATCTTCATTCCTCTCACTGGCAGGAACCCTTGTCATCCATCACATCTGCGGCAGTCCCACCGTGCCCAGTATGGTGGGGGGCACCACCGAGTTCCCAGGGTGCAGCTGCAGCACCAACCTCGTCATCAGTCTGTAATTGTAATAACATTAAGCAATTGGAAGTTCATCATTTGTGCATCAAAGGCTGCCTGAGGTCAGTCATCTGGTCAGACATGGGGCTGTGGCCCACCCTGGGTCCCCGCACCTAGCGGTACACCTGGCCAAGTGTGCACAGTGAATAACTGTGGAAGGCCGGGCACAGTTGCTCACGCCTGTAATCCCAGCACTTTGGGAGGACGAGGTGGGTGGATCACCTGAGCTCAGGAGTTCGAGACCAGCCTGACCAACATGATGAAACCCCATCTCTACTAAAAATACAAAAATTAGCTGGGTGTGGTGATGGGCGCCTGTAATCCCAGCTACTCCATCCAGAGGCTGAGGCAGGAGAATTGCTTGAACCCAGGAGGTGGAGGTTGCAGTGAGCCGAGATTGCACCATTGCACTCCAGCCTGGGCAACAAGAGCAAAACTCCATCTCAAAAAAACAAACAAACAAACAAAAACCAATGAAGCTGGCAAGAGATATATTCTAATACAAGGAGACATTCCAATGCAGACTGTTTCTCCTGGGAGGACCCAAGTCCCCTCCAAACAATCATATATCTACAGAACCATATAAATGACATTCTTTTCAGTTTGCTTCTTTTAGTCATGAGGGTTGAGTTTCCATATCCATGACTAACTTGTTTTGAAGACCAAGGAGAAAAGCACCATAGCCTCCTCAATAATGGGCCACAAGTCAGGAACTCTGCATTTGGGATAAACAATTTTTCTTCAAGAATATCATCTCCTTAAAATGCAAACAGAGGCTTCATTGAAGCTGTAGATTTCTTTGGGCAGTATGGTCATCTGAACCATACAGTACTTCTTCCAAGTACTTTCCATTTGTTTGTCAGTCCTCTTCAATTTCTTTTCATCGATGCTTTGTAGTTTTCCTTGTAGAGGTCTTTGGCCTCCTTGGTAAAGTTTATCCCTAGGTATTTTAAATTTTTTGTAGCTACTGCAAATGGAATTGTCATCTTGATTTCTTTTTCACCTAGTTGTTTGTCTATAGAAACAATATTGATTTTTGTATGGTGATTTTGTATCCTGCAACTTTACTGAATTCATTTACCAGTTCTAAGAGCTTTTTGGTAGAGTCTTCAGGTTTTTCTCTATATAAGATCATGTCATTTGCAAACAGGGATAATCTGACTTCCTCCTTTCAAATTTGGATGTCCTTTCTTTCTCTTGCCTGACTGCTCTGGCTATGACTTCCAGTACGTGTTGAATAGGAGTGGTGAGAATGGGCATTCTTTTCTTGTTCCAGTTCTTAAAGGAAAAGTATTCAGCTTTTCCCCATTTAGTACGATGTCAGCTGTGGTTTTGTCATTTATGGCCCTTATTGTGTTGAGGTACATTCCTTCTATACCTAGTTTATTGGGAGTTTTTATCATGAATGGGTGCTAAAGGTTATCAAATGCTTTTTCTGCATCTATTGAGATGTTCATGTGGTTTTTGTCCTTCATTCTGCTGATGTGATTTAATCACATTTCTTGATTTATGTATACTGAACCATCTTTGCATCCCTGGGATGAATCCCATTCAATCATCATGTACTAGCTTTTTGATGTGTTGCTGGATTTGGTTTGCTATTATTTTGTGTAGGATTTTTGCATCTATATTCATCAAGAATATTGACCTGTGGTTTTATTTGCTGTGTTCTTATTTGCTTTTTGTGTCAGGGTTATGCTGGCCTTGTAGAATAAGTCAGGAAGAATTATCTCTGATACAATTTATTTGGAATAGTTTGAGAAGAACTAGTATGAATTCTTCTTTAAAGGTTTGGTAGAATTCAGCAATGAAGCCATCCAGTCCTAGGCCTTTCTGCTGTGACAGACTTTTATTACTGATTCAACTTCATTTCTTGTTAGTCTGCCCAGGTTTTCTTTTTCTTCTTGGCTCAATCTTGGTAGGCTGCATGTGTCCAGGAATTCAGCCATTTCCTCTAGGTTTTTTACTTTAGTGGCATGTAGTTATTCATAATATTCTCTAATGATCCTTTATATTTCTCTGGTATCCATTGTGATGTTTCACTTTTTCACTTCTGATTTTATTTATTTGGGTATTTTTCTCTTTTTTTCTTAGTCTAGTTAATGGTTTGTTAATACTGTTATTTCTTCCAAAATCCAACTTTTTGTTTCATTGATCTTTGTTTTTTGTCTCAATTTTGTGTATTTCTGCTCTTATCTTTACTTATTTCCTTCTATTAAGCACCAAAATACCAATGACATTCTTCACAGAAATAGGAAAAAAAAAGCCAAAGTTTCATATGGAATTATAAAATAGCCAAAGCAATCCTGAGCAAAAAGAACAAAATTGGAGGTATCACACTACCAGACCTCAAAATATACTATAAAGCTATAATAACCAAAACAGCATGATACTGGCATAAAAACAGACACATAGATCAATGGAACAGAATAGAGAGAACAGACATTAATCCACATATACACAAGCCAACTGATTTCTGACAAAGAGGCCAAGAACACTCATTAAGGACATTCTCTTCGATAAATAGTGCTAGGCACGTTTACCTATGTAACAAACCAGCACTTCCTGCACATGTACCCCTGAACGTAAAATAAATAAATAATGCTGGGAAAACTATATGCATATGCAGAAAAATAAAACTAGACCCCTACCTGTCACCGTATACAAAAATCAACTCAAAATGCATCAAAGACCTAAATGTAAGACACTAAACTCTAAAACCATTAGAAGAAAACACAGGGAAATGCTTCAAGACATTGGTCCAGGGAAAAAATTTATAAGTAAGACTCCAAAAGCATGGGCAACAAAAGCAAAAATAATCAAATGGGATTATATCGACCTAAAAGCTTCTGCACAGCAAGGGAAGCAATCAACAGAGTAAAAACATGACCTACAGAATCAGAGGACATACCTGCAGACAATGCATCTGATGAAGGATTAATATACAAAATATACAAGGAACTCAAACATTTCAACAGCAAAAAAAAAAAAGATCTAATTTTAAAATGAGAAAATTTGAGTGCGGACATTTCTCAAAAGGAAACATACAAATGATTAACAAATATTAATATATGAAAAATGTGCAACATCACTAATTATCAGGGAAATACAAATCAAAACCACAATGAGGTACCATCTCACCCCAGTTAGCATGGCCACTATCAAAAAGACAAGAAATAAATGTTGGTGTGGATGCAGAGAAAGGGAACTGTTACACACTGTTGGTGGGAATGTAAGCTGGTACAGTCACTACAGAACAGTATAGAAGTTCCTCTGAAAACTACAACTAGAACTCCCATATGATCCAGCAGTCCTGCTACTCGGCATTTACCCAAAGGAAAGGAAATCAGGATATGGAAGAGACACCTGCACCTCCACATTTACTGCAGCACTATTCACAATAACCAAGATACAGAATCAACCTAGGTGATCCACAACAGAGGAGCAGAGAGACAAAATGTGGAACATATACACCATGGCGTACCAATCAGCCATACAAAATGAAAAGCCATCATTTGCAGCAACATAGAGGGAACTAGAGGGCATTATGTTAGGTGAAATAAGCCAGGAACAGAAAGTTAAACACCACAGGTTCTCACTCATGTGTGGATGCTGTAAAAAGTTGACCTCATAGAAGTAAAAAGTAGAAAAGGGAATACTAGAAGTTGGGAAGGGTTGTAGGGAAAGGGGGATAGGGAGAGAGTTGTTAAGGTATGCAAAATTACAGCTAGATAGGAGTTCTAGTGTTCTATACCACTGTATGATGATTATAAGTAACAGTAACATAATATACAATTTCAATTAGCTAGGAGGATACTGAATGTTCCCAGCACAAAGAAATGACAAATGTTTGAGATGATGGAGATGCTAATTACCCTGATCTGATCACGACACATATGTATCAAAACATCACTATGTACCCCATAAATATGTAATTATTATGTGTCCATTTTTAAAATAAAATACTTCAAAAATGTAAATAACCACAAGCAGTTAACACTTAAAAACACTAAGAGCTATTAACATCTTGGTGTAAAGTAGCTTAGCAGTTAAACTTACAAACCTACTAGCAGGCCAGTGGTTCATTCCACAATTGCTACATCACATCTTATGGGGTGGTCGCTGTGCCCACACCAGCCAATAACCTGCACAGGCACAGAAACAGAAAGCTCTGCCAGGGCAAAGGAGGACACTGGGCATCCAGAGGTGACACTGGACCCTGGGCACCGAGGGGAAGTATGATGTGGAAATAAGGTAGTTTTTCTTCTGTCAGACATTTTGTTTTAGTCCAGCTCTTACAATCACAGCTCAAAAAAGTGGGGCTATGGCCGGGCGCGGTGGCTCGCGCCTGTAGTCCCAGCACTTTGGGAGGCCGAGGCAGGCGGATCACGAGGTCAGGAGTTTGAGAACAGCCTGACCAACATGGAGAAACAGTGTATGTACTAAAAAAATACCAAAATTAGCCAGGCATGGTGGCACACGCCTGTAATCCCAGCTACTCAGGAGGCTGAGGCAGTAGAATCGCTTGATCCTGGGAGGTGGAGGTTGCAGTGAGCCAAGATCGTGCCATTGTACTCCAGCCTGGGCAAGAGAGGGAGACTCTGTCTTTAAAAAAAAAAAAAAAAAGGCGGGGGGCGGCGCTGTGTGCAGTTGGACAGGTTTTCTGAACCACTGGGTCACACTGAACAATAAATCTCAACTGGACATCATGACTAAAGGCTCCAGAGTGAGCGGGTTCTCCAGCAAATCCCGTGGCCTATGAAAACTGTGGCAGAAATCGGGGAAAGCTCAGATCCAGTTCTTAAGCACAGGCGCTTACAGTAGCAACCCTGGAGCGCCATCAGCAAGAACACGGTGACTAGAGATGCAAGACAAGCACACCGCCAGGCACAAACTTTGCAGACCCTGTGCGTGCGTGGAGGGTGCTGCCAGGGCTGGGCCCCTCACTAAGACCACCTTCATTCACACGACAAGCGGAACATGGCTGAAAATGGGCGGCCGTCAACTGGACCTACTAGCATGCTCTCTACTACAGAGTTTGAAATTTTTACCGTAATAAAAAGTTAAAAATAAAATTATTTAAAGAACAAAGAATAAAAAGCAGTGGTTAGATGCAACATGGCATCCTGGACTGCACCTGGGAACAGAAGAAGGACATTAGTTGGTAGAACAACTAGTGAAATTCAAGTCAAGTCTATGGTTTTCGTTAGCAGTTTTCTACCAACGTTAATTTCTTAGTTGTGATACGCGTGCCATGATTACATATGATGTTAATGCCTTTACAGGAAGCAGGGCATATAGGAACTCTGCACAATCTTCGTAAGTCTTCTGAAAATCTACAATTATTTCAAAACAAAGCTTTTTGTAAAAAAGTGGTGGCTTAGTGACAGAAAGGGGAGGCATACAGAGTTTAAAATCCTGCCGTTGCCCTAAAAACAGAACCTGTAATTCTTACTACCTCCTGGCACCTAAAGCAAGCCTGGTTGGAATTTAAAAGATTATCTGGTGAGAACGGATATGTTTCTAATCATGACAGGTAGAGGTCTAGAGTTTACCCAAGGTCTTTTTTGTCCTTAGCCCACCATCACTGTGTCTGTGTGCAGTGAATACTCATGTTCTATTAGGAAATTTAAAAAAAAAAAAAAACCCTTGTAGATAAAAAAACATTGCAGATTTTCAGGAACAAAATTAACCTAGTTTACAAAGATCTCCTGTTATTGATCATGATCTACCTGCAGGGCTGTTTGTCTAACCCTGAGGTTATGAAGCACAAATGTTCTCCTTTCTAGTGTGACTAATGGAAAATCAGGTGTGCAGACCTGGTCTGCTAAATGTCGCAACAGGAGAAGACAGCCTCTGACATGGCGCACTCCACAGTTGATCTCTGGAGGCCAATTTTCCAAGACACTGACAAAACAGGGGATTCTAAGCCCATGGATCACATTTCCTTACAGACTCCTGCCCACTCCAATACCGACTGCAGCCATGACAGCTGGCCAGCCACCCCTTAGGGGCTGTGGTATCTGCATTTTATATGGCACTGACCTCGGTGTGTGTACACCCATCAATAGCTGGAGGGCCAGCATGCCATAAATCACTCCCCATCTCCTCATCACCAATCAAGCACTTTATAGAAACCTGACCACAGATTTCTGTGAGTGATTTAGACAAGTGGCACGTGGTAACACGACGGTGTTACTGTCTATCCCAAACTCAGGACTGCAGAAATGCACCAGAATGCACATCACCAGGCGCCAGGGCAGCGAGATCCCCAGGGCTGCACAGGGACCCCAAGGGCACAGTGCAGTCTCAGCATGGGCAAAAGCAGGCAGAGCCTGAAGTCAGTGATGGCCGCAGACCACCCAAACCTCTGGAGGCTGCAATTAGCTCTTCAGTGAATGCTTTGTGGTGACTTCAAGCAATACGGGTTATCTGAATTTATCGTTGTTCGCACACTTTAATTAGCCTCTAAAAATACAGGGACCCAACCTTCATGCCAATCTTTGTTCACACATTGAATCCATTTTTAACAATGCATTTTTAATTTGCTCTTGAGCATCTACTTATACATCTGTCAGTGCCTGCCTTGTAATTCCAGGCAGATACTGGCTTTTTAGAAAGGAGTAATAATAGCTGCAGTGCTCTGAGCCCCGAGTGATGCTCTGTGCAAGACACGGGCTCAGCACTTTGCACACTGTTCCCCTTAGTCTCCACCAGGCCAAAAGCAAAAGTCAACAACCCGAGACAAGAAAATCAAGAGGAAGAGAGGCTGGAGAACAGCCAGCATGCACACCAGGTGGCAGAGCTGCAAGGGCCCTGCCCCTCACCTGCAGGCCACCAGCTGCCATTCTGAGCTGGGTGATGTGAGAAACTCCAATTGCCTCTGCCCCCTTGAAGCAGAAATGATCATGCTGTCTGCTCTGGTTCCCTCCACTGGAGAAACCCTGCTTTCCACATGTCTTAGGGATACATGGGCCATAGTGAGACGGACAGAGAGCCAGGATCAAAGATGTGGCCCTGAGAGCCAGCCCTGAGCCTTCTGACTTGGGCTGACCTGGGCACAGCACTTAATCTACCCGATCCTCGGTTTCACATATGAAAAGTGATGATGCTAATAATGCCAATGCCCCATATCATAGCAATTGGCAAAGTCCTGTATGAAGATTAATTAGGTGTGGTAGTATTTCCTGCTGGAATAAACTCAGCAAAAACTTCAGGCAGGCCTCCAAAATTGATATCACCTGAATCCAACACAAGACTACACACGGCTGCCCTCACGTGCCTGTCTCACCTCGTCTCCCCATTATTTCTGATACTGAATAAGCTCTCAAGAATAGAGGGGCTGGGATGAAGTCACACATGCATCCGTACAGCCCAGGTACACATGGGTCCTGCAGACTCAGGATGACTCCTGCCCACGAGCTCCACATGGAATGGTTGCCCCTGAGGTTTCTCCACATTTTCCCTCATGACGCTGACTCAGGCACAGCTCCCACTTAGGGGAACCCATGCCCCCCACCAAACAGAGGGTGCAGTCGACCATAATAAGGCAGATGACATGCTCCCCAGGAACCTCATGTGCAGAGGAAGCAGTGCCTCACGGAATTGCAGGGGCCACAGACGGACCAGATGATTCTGCGCTCTTGCTTGTTTGTTTCTCCCAGAGTACCTAACAAAATTGCTAATGAGGCATATGATGCATGCTTTCTAAATATTTATTAAATTTAACTTTAAAATGAACACTCCCACCTGTCCATGAAGACAGCAAATCTCAACCATGAGGTCAATCCACAAGCTCTGCCAAAAGCTCAAATTCCACACAGAACATTCAGAAGTAAGACCTGCTGTGTGTGTGGATATGGATGTGCTGTGACAGGGTGTGTCTTGGGGGAAGAGGGAAGGAGAGGCCTAAGCTTTTGATGGCAACACTTGCAGGTGTAAACGTAAATGACTACAATATTAACCACAATACAACCCACATGGGTCAATAAAGATGTTTAAAGATTTCAAGGATTCATTCGTAATTATAATAACAAAAAGAGAGACGTAGGTAGGTAACAGAGAAAACTTGGGGCCTTTACCCTAACATTTTATATTTATGTTTGGCAATTAACTTTAATAACTGACAGATCAATAGGAAGGTTGATGGTGGAGGATGGGCAGGATGAATGGATGTGCAGATGAATGAGTAGATCAGTGGGTGGATGTTAGGACAGATGGGTGGATGAATGGATGGGTGGGTAGGTGGATTCGTGGGTTGGATGGGTGGATGAATGGGTGCATGAATGGATGAATAGATGGATGGGTGGGTAGATGGATGGATAGAAGAATGAGTGGGTGAGTGGACAGGAGGTAGATGGATTAATGGATGGGTAGGTGGATGGATGGATGAATGGATGGTGGATTGGTGAGTGGATGAATGGATGGATAGAGGAAAGAATGGGTGGGTGGGTGGGTGGGTGAGTTCATGGTGGATAGATGAATGGATGGATGGGTAGATGGTGGTTGGGGAGATGATGGATGGATGGAGGAATGGGTGGATGGGTATATGGATGGATGGGTAAATGGATAGATGGATGTGTGGGTGCATGAGTGGGTGGGTGGGTGGGTGGATGGATGGATGAATGGATGGATGGGTGGGTGGGTGGATGGATAGAGAAATGGGTGCATAGGTGCATGGATGGATGGAGAGATGAATGAGTGGGTGGGCGGGTGGATGTGTGGGTGGGTGAGTGAGTACATGGTGGATAGATGGATGGGTGGATGGGTAGGTGGTAGCTGGGGAGATGATAGATGGATGGGTAGACGGATGGATGGGTAAATTGATGGATGGATGTGCGGGTGCATGGGTGGGTCGCTGGGTGGGTGGATGGGTGGATGGGTAGGTGGTGGCTGGGGAGATGATAGATGGATGGGTAGACGGATGGATGGGTAAATCGATGGATGAATGTGCGGGTGCGTGGGTGGCTGGATGGTGGATGGATGGGTGGGTGGATGGATAGAGGAATGGGTGGGTAGGTGCATGGATGGATGGACAGATGAATGAGTGGATGGATGGATGATGGATGGGTGGGTGAATGGATAGAGGAACGGGTGGGTAGGTGCACGGATGGAAGGACAGATGAACGAGTGGGTGGCTGGGTGGGTGTACAGGTGGCTAGATGGATGGATAGGTGGGTGGGTGGATGGGTGGATGCTGATATAAAGTTTCAAATGCTGTTCCCACATTTTGTCTCATTAATCCTCCTCATAGGTTGAGAGATATTCCAGTGTCCACTCTACAGAAGTTAGTGACGTGCCCAAGGCTAAGAGCTGGAAGTGGAAGAGGCCGGGGACAACTCAGCTCCTTGGCTCTCACCTCCAAGGGGCCCTGCCTCCCACACCATGCTGCCCATGGAAAGGTGGCCTACTCCCTTGGAAAGTCCAGCTGTAAAACACTCCCAAAGAAAACATGGCCTGACTGGAAAACTAAGATCAGCTGGAGTCAGACATAAAGCCTTTAAGTGCTTCCAGCATACAAAACAGCCCCAAGACACTCAGCTGCTGCAGAACTGAGATGTGGAAATGAAGGCACAGGGGCAGAGCAGGCGCCAGGCGCAGAGCAGGCCGGCAGGGAGAAGAGCACCCAGCCCGGGAAAGCTCCTGCCAGCACAGATGGATGGGTGGATGGGTAGGTGGATAAGCCCACTGTGTAACAGCTGAAACCCAAGTCGAACAGCTGGGGTCAGAGCTGCCTGAAAGGCCAAAGCTGTTGGATAAGATTTAAATAAACTACTTCAAAATTACCTTTATTAGAGTTAAGTAAAACAGTACATCTAATGGGTACAATGTACCCTATTGACGTGATGGTTACACTAAAAGCCAAGACTTCACCACAAGGCAATATATCCATATAACAAAACTGCACTTGTACCCCATAAATCTATTTTTTTAATTTTTTAATTAAAAAATAACAATGCAGAGTGGCTTGCAAAAAAAATACCACATTTGCATTTAGTTCTTATTTCTTTTTCTATATACTATACAGACTACATGGGATTTTAAAGGGTAAAATATTACCAACCTCTTTACTATTGTTCTAAAAATCTATCATTAGTAAGTGTGTGAAAGTGGTTTTTCCATATCAAAGTGAAGTCCACGAAGGTCTTGCCTGCCTTACCTTAGTTGGATTCCACTAATCACCCGATCACCCCGGCCACAGCTCCAGGCCTGAAACCAAAGTACCAGCAGGAATTAAACAACCTCTTCAAAGAGCTTCCTAAAATCTTAACCTTTAATTGGAAAATGCAGATGATCAAATCAAGCACTGACGTGACCGGGTAAAACTTGAAATACTGGAATCCTAGACAAAATTGTTTTGATGAATTTCCTGCAGACGTGAAAACAAGCGATTCCAGTAGGTCAACAAGTCAGAAGCACGTTCTTGGTTTAATGAAGCTCTGTTAAACTATTTTCTCTTTTTCCTAGAACCCCGATCTTTTGTTATTGTTTTCAGATGATGTGTGTGTTTGTTTGTGGCTGGCTTCACATCACCCTGGAGGGTTCATAAAGATAGGCCACGAAGCCCCGTGCTTGTAGACACACACCCCGACGGACACTGGCCTCGCGTGATGACGCGTGTGAGAAACCCGCCCCAGTTTGACCTCTGCAGTACATAAGGGTCTGTGGGACGTGAACCCCACGACATTTATTTTTAATCACAGTAAAAGATGTAAGATGCACGAGACAACATGACAGTCATCTTTGCAATCCCGGTCTCCAGCAGGAGTAATTACGGCGCAGGACCCATTTCACGCATGTCCCTGTGAAAGCAGGATCCAGGCTGTTCAGCGGGGAGGGGACCGCGGGGACAGAGGAGGATTCTCTACTGACGGCAGAGCGCCCTGCAGCAGGAGGCTGGGACAGTCACCCCTACATTGCCAGCGGTCAGTCAGGAGGAGGAGCTGGAAGGCTGACCCTGGAGTCTCAGCAATACCGGCTTTCAGCAGGAGGCCCAGCCTTCACCTGCTGCTCTCTCTGCCCCTGCATCCGTCCCTCAGGCACGCCCTCAGTCCTACCACACTGACTCCCACATAGCCTGGGTTTTGCTGTCTACCTTGAGGCAGGATCACTGCTCCATTTCAATCCTCAGCGTATCAAGACATTGTGTACAGAGTAGTGATGAGCGGGAGACCCGCTGCAGCACCCGGGAGGCTACCCTGGAAGCCTCCGGAATGAACTTCCGCATGTATACACACAGCGAAAGCACACAGCAGACGCCGGGGCCAGCATGGAACTCGACACTGGTTTGGGTCTTTATAAACCAGCGCCCTGTGAGGTGCCATGTGAGGTGTCCAACAGACACAAATAAAGCCCGCCTTGGCCTGGCGCAGTGGCTCATGCCTGTAATCCCAGCATTTCGGGAGGCCGAGGCAGGTGGATCACTTGAGGTCAGGAGTTCCAGACCAGCCTGACCAACATGGAGAAGCCCCGTCTCTACTAAAAATACAAAATTGGCCGGGTAGTGGCACATGCCTGTAATCCCAGCTAATCAGGAGGCCGAGGCAGGAGAATCGCTTGAACCCGGGAGGCAGACGTTGCAGTGAGCTGAGATTGCACCATTGCACTCCAGCGTGGGCAACAAGAGTGAAACTCCATCTCAAAAAAAAAAGAAAAGAAAAGAAAAGAAAAAAAAAGCCCGCCTCGAGTAGGGCCAATTCTCTCTCAGGCAAAAATCGTGAGATTAGACCACAATCTGTTGTCATCCCTCCAAAGCTGCCGTCTCATTTAAATATCCTCTCATCTGGCAGTCACTGAAGACCTACTATGTGCTAGGCGCTCTGGAGGGCAGCTGGAATATCAAAGTAAACAGGGGAGTCCCTGATCACTGAGTTCCTGGTCCATGAGGAGAACAGATGCCTGCACAGTCCATTAGAAAATAACGGTGCGCACGCATACATGCGCATGCACACATGCACACAAGCACACACATGCACACATATACACAAGCACACACATGCACACACACGCACATGCATGCACACATGCACACTACAGTCAAACTCTGAGGATGCACAGGGCAGCACGGACCTCTAGCCCAGGTGCTGACGCTGTCTTGGAGCACCTCAAGGCCGAGGGAGGCTGAAGCAGCACCTCCCAGGCCAAAGAACCCACAGGATGGCCATGTGAGAGGCAAGAAAGGGCCCAGGGGAGGCTGTGAGCATATGTGGGGGAGGCGGTGTGAAAGCCTTTTTCCGCTTCCCTGCCACCAGCTCACGGGGACATCGGGGCTCTGGGCCTGCGGCCTCAGAGCTCCTTTGGGGCCAAGGGCTGAGCTTTCAGCAAGTTGACCCTGCAAGACTAGGGAAGCCTCAGGCTGCTCTGTTGGAAGGTGAATGTGTGACTCTTTCAAAGCACCCTGACCCTGCATGTGCCCATCTCCATCACCGAAGTAGGTCTGGAGTCGGGTCTTTCAGAATGCTGGCCTAGTTATTTAACTAATGTGCAATGAGTTTCTATGTCCAAGGCCATCCAAAACATGGCAAAGCTAAATAAATATGTATACACTTAGGAAATCCCTTCCTTGGCCAAACAGGAACAGGGACCCTACAACTGGCATGAGGAGAGTTGCACGGGCCAGCATGCTGCCAGGAGGTCCCCAGAAGTACCCATGGCAAACCAAACAAACAGCAGTCAGGAACTGGGTAAAGGTTGGCTGCAGCACAAACAGCTACAGTCGCAGCCTTTGGCTCCATGGCATCTCATGGCTGGTACAGCCTGCGTGGCCCAGGCCACCATGGAGCAAACCCCACGGGCCACAGCTGGAGGTTTGCCAGCCGGCAACTTGGGGCTCCACTCTTTCCAGGCCCGCCAAGGACAGCCAGGGCATCTGCGTCTGGTCCCCAGTCCACACTGTGACTGGTGCAGGCATTACAAGAAAGTGGAACAGTGAGTGAATGAGCGCAGCTGTTCTGAGCCTACTGAAGGTCTCTCCAGCCGGATGGCTGGCCCAAGCCCCCTCTGGACAACTGCTACTTTCATTTGCTCTAAGACTGTATGATCATTAATACCTGTAATTCATTCTGACTAATCAAAATTCATCCTGGTTAATTCACTAGCTAATTAGAATTTAAAAGAGTGCCACAGCCATTCAGGCAAGCTCATTTAGGAGCTATTGAAATCCTCACACAAGACGTAGGTGAAAAGGGAGAGGGAGTCTGTTTAAACTTCTAAGTGGCCCCTGCACTCCCCTTTGTTCCCTCAAATCCCTGAGCTCAGCAGGCTAATCTCACTGGATTAGCTGCATTAACATTTCCAGTGTCCTCTCCCTAACGCCAGGCCCCTCCAACCGCAGGCTTCATGGGTCACAAATGTTCTCTCGAGCCCGCAGTTACAAGCAGCAATTTTTTTTTTTTTTTTTTGAGACAGAGTCTTGCTCTGTGGCCCAGGCTGGAGTACAGTGGTGTGATCTCAGCTCACTGCAACCTCTGCCTCCCAGATTCAAGCAATTATCCTGCCTCAGCCCCCTGAGTAGCTGGGATTACAGGTGTGCGCCACCACGCCCAGCTAATTTTTCTTATTTTTAGTAGAGACAGGGTTTCACCATGTTGGCCAGGCTGGTCTCGAACTCCTGACCTCAGGTGATCCGCCCACCTCAGCCTCCCAAGTGCTGGGATTGCAGACATGAGCCACCCGCCTGGCCTTACAAGCAGCAATCTTAATGTCCCCTCTCCCACCAGAACCTCGGCAGGAACAGGGGCTAGGGCTGTTGAGTAGGAGCAGGAGGCATCTCAGTGAGCTCCCTGGGAACGTGACATTATAAAATCACATTTCCACACAGAAACACAGGCGTAGTCACCACCCGGGAGAGGCTGCCTATGTGTAGGCCCCTCCCAGGTATTGAGTCTCTCCAGGATCCTAAAAGTAACCCAGATTTGGTGCAAACCTCACAGAGATGTGAACCCAGGCTGGCAGGACTCTGCAGTCCACGCCCTCTGGCCTGCACCACACCACCCCTCAGTTCTGTGGGTGCTGAGTCCCACATCTGCACGTTCTCCCACCTGCTCTCCAAAATAACCCAGCTTATTACAGAAAGAGCACAGAGTAGATGTAAAAAGTCTTCCTTTTGTGTGAACACTGACAGCCCAAATAAAGAAGGCATCAGGTGCATCCAACAGTGCTTCAAGACACTGATCAATCATAAAATATTGCGTGGCACAGGCACCTCTAATATCCTTCCAGTTGAGCAAAAAATCTATCAACAAGAGGCAATGCATGAAGGGGACCAGCCCAACAGCAGAATGTTTTTAAGAGGGGGCTCCTTCTCGTTTTACAATAAACCACGACCAGTCATCGAGCAATCTGTCTCCAGTTCCAATACTGGAAAATAAGGAAGAGAAATCCTGGGTTCATGCTTAGATGGCTCTGTGATCTCATGCCCTCCAGACTTGGGAAAGGCAGATATTCTGGCACCTGCTGTTAGTTTACAGTTCCCAATAGTTCCTGGGGTTTTAGGTGGATTTTCAGAGCAAGCTTGTGGGTAAGGATGGCTAGGAACAGCCTCACTCCACTGTCCATTTCCTTCACAATCAGCCCAAGCACCGTGACTTCGCAAGGAGGCAGACACATTGACCTTAAGAACCAGGGTGGGCATCCAGGAGGCCACCAGACTCTACCCCAGCCTCCCATTTTAGAGACGAGATCTTAACAGCATGTGACCTCAGACAAGGTGCTAAATTCCCTAGACCTCAGTTTCCTCATCTGTAAAATGGGACTGATCACTACACTTCCCAACCTCATAAATGAATTACATGGGTCAAATGAAAGAACACATGCAAACTGCTGGACAGCAATGCCTCCATGAAGGGGGTTCTCCATGGGGAAACTGAGGCCAGAGGTCTTGAGTGATCACAGTGACTGGTGCAGGGCTGTCACACAATTGTATGCACTGAGGGAATGGATCTTTGGTTGCTCGGGGGACAATGCTACTTGGAGACCGAGCTAGGAACAAGAATCCACGTTCCCTGAATGTCTTCGAACTAACTGCTTTTTCCACTGAACAGATCACCCCAGTTCCACTTGGCCGTGGGACCAGGAGTGAAATTATCACCTCTGTCTCCAATGCAAGAACAAATCAGCCACCCGGCAGTCACTGTCCACAAGCCCATGAACCACAGAACCTTCCTTGGTACTAAGTATATGAACTAGAAGCTCTGGGAACTAAGAGACCATCTACGGTGGCCTCAGAGAGCCACATCCTATCAGATCACAGGAGGAAGCAGCCAGGACACCAGTGACTCTGCCAGTGCCCAGGACGTGGGGTGATGCACTTAGTCCCCTGCATTTCCCAGCGGGCACCTGCGCCATCTCATCTGACAGTCAGAGTAACCCTGCAAGCAGGCAGATGTCATGATCCCATTTTCAAGATGAGGGAGCAGGACTCGGACTGGCCAAAGGCCACAGCCCAGAACAAGAGCAAGCTGGCCTCCAGAGCCCAAGCCAGCATGCCTAGCAAGCGTTCTATGAGTGGAGCCTCCAGGGATAACCCAAGATCACAAAGACAGAGACACCTGCTGCTTCTTAAGTCACTGTGTTTCATTCTCCATTAAATATAAAACAGAACTCTACCTGCACACATTATGCCCCCAAGCACAGTCCCTTATGGAATGTTACAATCCTCATCTCTAAACTGAGATGGAACCACGCTGGTTCCAAGCAAGACTAGGGAGGGAGGGAGTCCACAGTTCCAGGGACAAAGCAAAGGGGAATTAAAACGTAACCTCAGAGGAAGATGTCAACACATCTGCAAAAGAAAATTAATTCCAACTGTGATCTGAAAGTCCGACATGGAACACCAGGTGCAGGAGACACCCCCACTCCAACAGCAGCTCAGAAACCCTCCAGACTGAGAAACACGGACCGAGCCCCACACAGGCAACGCCAGCACCCAGAGGAAGCAGAGGGTACAGAAAGGAGTTTAACATGTTTTTCTAGGCCAGACGTGGTGGCTCACGCCTGTAATCCTAGCACTTTGGGAGGCCAAGGAGGGCGGATCACCTGAGGGCGGATCACCTGAGTTTGAGACTAGCCTGACCAACATGGAGAAACCCTAACTCTGCTAAAAATAGAAACTTAGCCTGGGGTGGTGGTGCATGCCTGTAATCCCAGCTACTCAGGAGGCTGAGGCAGGAGAATCGCTTGAACCCGGGAGGCAGACGTTGCAGTGTGCCGAGATCGCACTACTGCACTCCAGCCTGGGCAACAAGAGCAAAACTCTGTCTCAAAAAAAAAAAAAAAAAAAGTTTTTCTATTGTTAGATCAAAGCAAAATGATGGTTCCAGGGGGAAAAGATGGAACAGTGCTTCTCTGTGTAACTGTTTCCACATCTAACGAGAAACTGCTCTGCACAGAACTGCCCAGCCCAGCTCGGGAGCGACGGGTGCCAGATGGAACCACTCTCTGTAGAGAGTAAACCTTGCTATCCCCATAGCAACTCCACCGCGCTTCCAAAATGCTTAAAAAGACACACATCAAATTGTTTTCCACAATTTTTCAGAAAGTGACTTTTTATTCCACACCCTTAGCAAATCTAGTTAACTGGGAATTTTCTCATTATAAAAACAGGAACACATGATCATTGTAGAAAATATGGAAAAGATGAAAAGACAGAATTTTTTAAACCATCCTTAGCACTATATGCCAAGACCTCTATTTTTAATGTCCTGGTGTATTTCCTTCCAGTCTGTTCTCCGGGTGGAGGTTCAAACAGATTCCTAACGGAGGCAAGGATCAGCACCCAGCCTGCAAGAAAAGCAACCCACCCCAGGGCTGGATGTGCACTTCCCCCAGGGGCAGGACTGCAGATGTGTCCTCAGACTGGGAGGGAAATAAAGTCGACTCATCCAACCAAAGCCGATCGCATATGCAACATGGCTAGTGGTCTATTACACAGGCTAAAAGCCATCAATAGGAATGAATTTGCTAGGAGTCCTCACCACTATTTAGAATGTGGGGGGTTTTTCAGTTTTTTCTCCTTCTTCCGCACTTGGTTTTCACAATCCTTGTGGATTTTAAATCCAAGGCAACAAAACTAATACCAGAATAAAAGCACAGTCAGATGCCTGGAGGGTGAGTCAGACTTCCAGGTAGCTGTCGAACATTTAGTCTTCTTTGAAAAGATGGAAAAAAGATTCACAGACCATAATTTTCTCTACTTTGAACTTTTCCTGATCCCAAGAACAGAGGAAAACAGCTTAGGAGAATCAAGGTTATGATAGAGACATCTCGTCTAAAGAGAAAGCATCTACATATGATGAATTTAATAAACTTTAATAATCTGATGATTTTTTTTTTTTTTGAGATGGAGTTTTGCTCTTGTTGCCCAGGCTGGAGTGCAATGGCGCAATCTCAGCTCACTGCAACCTCTACCTCCCGGGTTTAAACAATTCTCCTGCCTCAGCCTCCCAAGTAGCTGGGAATACAGGCACACGCCACCACGCCTGGCTAATTTTTTGTATTTTTAGTAGAGACAGGGTTTCTCCATGTTGGTCAGGCTGGTCTCGAACTCCCAACCTCAGGTGATCCACTCACCTTGGCCTCCCAAAGTGCTAGGATTACAGGCATAAGCCACCGTGCCAACCTAATCTGATGATTTTTTTACAGCTTGATAAATTGGTTTCTAAGCAAATAAATAACTAATTTATCCAAAATGTATTTAGCCAGCAAGTTAAATTTGGGAGGAGAGAATGGAAGGGCAAAAGTTGGTCTGAAAAACAATTGCTTCTCCTGGTTTCTGGTAGGTAGTTTACTTAGAGGAAAACAGTAAAATAAGAATGTAATGTAGGTGAGCAGCAGTCCATGGGGTGGGGCGGGGCTCATGGAAGGTGCTCAGCCTCCCCGGCTCATCTCTCTCACTGCTGCTCATACTTCAGCCTTTCTGCAGGACTTTCTGTTTGCACTGAGGCCTGTCCCAACCCACGGAGGCTCAGGTGAGATGGCCTCACACCCACACCTGGTGCCCACCCAGAAGTTGGCAGAAGGGAGGAGTCCAGAGCCCCATCCAGGCCTACGAGTCTGTGGACCTGCCCACCATCCTCCCCTGGCCTGCTCACAGGTGCCTGCTCACAGTCCATCTGTTTATTCAACAAACAGTCCTGGCAGCCCGATGCTGGGCCAGGACAGGGACAAGAAGACGATTGTCTGCCCTCCTGGAGCTCACAATGACCAGGCCCCGTGCAGGAGACACATGGGCCAGGGAAGGCCTCCTAGGGCAAAGCCAGGCGACTAATGTGCGCACCCAGGGAGAGTTCTGGGTAGGGCAACCACAGAGGCCTGTGCGGCGAGGGGGTACGTGGGTGAGGAGCCTCAGCAGGAGGGAGGCCCGAGGGGCACAGGGCATGCCATCAGGGATTACAAGGGTCACTGGCTGCTGCATCCAGACCAGACCATCGCGGGTGGGGAGGACAGCACCCGGTCAGAGGCCCCGCAGAAACCCAGGGAGAGAGGACACACGAGCACTGCTGGTGGTGACAGTGAAAAGTGATCATATTGGGACGAACGCTGGAGGCAGAACAAATAGGTTTCAAACATGCACTGGGCCATGGGAAAAGGTGACGAAAGAAGTGTCTGAGATGTGTGGCCTGAACCACGGGCAGACAAGGATGCTGGTGACTGGAATGGGACAGTGAGGGAGTGACAGGGCTGGGGGGCTGAGGGGCAGGGAGGAGCAGCTGGGGGAGTAAGAGTTCAGTTTTAGACATGCTGGCTTGGAGGTGCCTATGAGTAGAGATGCCCGGTAGGCAGGTAGGTGTAGGAGCCTAGGGTTTGGAGTTCTGGGCCGAGGTCCTCTATGGAAATACATAATCAGTCTCAACAGTTGCGACAAAACTCTGCCTCTAAGCTCTCCAGCTGTGAGTATAAGGTTCTAGGCTCAGAAACCTCTCTCCACTGACAGCTAAGGGAGAGACCCCGTTCCTCTGGGCTCTGAAGCTGGCCACACCTTACCAGCAGGCTGCATCACCCAGGGAGGGAAGGGGAACAAATACTCAAAGACATCTTTGCTTAGAGAAGGTTTCCATAAAACAGCACCAGAGACAGTGACAAACAGGTCACAGGAGCACCAGAGACAGCGACAAACAGGTCACAGGATGGAGAATATTTCCAATAAGAGGGTGCCGGCTTCCTTGGCCCACTTCCAAACACAGCTGTCCCGCCTCTTACTGGGCTCTGAGCAGTGGGCCCCTCTGCCAACCTTGCCAACCCAAGAGCAAGCCAGAGGGTCCCTTGATGTCTTGCCACCTCTTAACAGTCAACAAGCCAATGCATTTGCTACATCACAGCAGCACTACATCATCCAGTAGCAGAGAACGTATCTGAACGGCATGGCATTTGCCTTCTTAGCGGCCAGTGACCCGTGTCCAAGCAGACCCAAGAGCACTTCGCCCGCTCACGTCCTTCAGGACAGGCGCCTGCAAAGAGGTGGCGCCACTGGTGGCAAGCTCCATCCCTAACGCACTGTGTGTGGCGACAAGCAGATCCTCTGCCATCGTCTAGAGTCCTCATTGATCACACAACTCATGACCAGGGGAGATCAGAAAGCGCCTCACCTGCCACCTAATCATTTTAACAATGAGCTGAAGCCTTGGTCATGAGGACGCTGGCTCCTGTTCCCTTCAGGGAACCAGGAGGACCACACCAGGGAGAGCCAGCAGACGTGGCAGCCTTCTCTCCCTGCTGCCAGCTTCGGGTCCGGAGCTGAGTTCGGACGAGCATCACAGCTGGCACGCGCCTCTCCCACACGCAGCTTCCAGGGAGCATGGCTGGAGGTGGCGCTTCCTGGGCTGCGGAGGAGAGAGCAGGAAGCTGCGAAGCCAGTGTGAACGGCGCACACGGCTTCCACTTGGAACGCAAGCAGGGGATCAGGGGACTTGGCAGCCACAGCGGAAGAGTCAGAGCTGCAGACAACAGTGAATAGCTGAGCTGGGGAAGGGATGCGGCAGCACGAGGTGACATAGAGGCTTGTGGAGCACAGCACGGGGCAGCAGCAGCCCCCGGACAAGGCCACGCAGGGAAGGAAGGCGATTTACACGGAGGCTTGTGGAGCACAGCACGGGGCAGCAGCAGCCCCCGGACAAGGCCACGCGGGGAAGGAAGGTGATTTTGTTGAAAGGGGAGAAACAGAACTGAAGTCAACTTGCATCCACAGCCGAACAAACTGTACCAGGACAGAAGCTCAAACCATGCCAGGCAAAAAGGGGCACAGGCCACAGACAGAGGCGGGAGGCGAGTGGGACAGGAGAGGGGCCACACTGGCAGATCCACCTCACTGCTGGCACCAGGCCAAGTCTCTGCACTGCTCAGGACCTGGGACATACTCCTAAGTCCCACAAGAGCGCCCAGAAGACGCTCCTCTAACAGGGAGGAGATGAGAGCAGGCCCCTGCGGTGGCCCCAGCCTGCACCGTACTCGCGCCACACTCCATCCTGCATGGCCCACCAGGAGAGAGCTTCACGGGGTGCCCCCTCAGTCCCCTTGATGTAACTATGTGTATCTTCGAATTCAGTTTTTAGTGCTATACCCTTGACCTCCCAAAATGACATCGACTAGGTGGGTGCCTGCCCAGCCACCAAGCTGCCATCCCTGGGACCAATGACCTTCAGAAAACAGCCTGCCATGTGGTTTGGACAACCATTGGGCATCACATTCCAATTAGGTTTCACACATTAAAATAACATAAACTCTGGCCTGAATTCCTCATTCAGCTAATAGCCACATTAGAGAAGAAGAAACAAATCCATTAATTATACTTCTATGTACATTTCATTGATTATTTGTTCCTTAAAGCCAAGGAACATGAAATTAGATGTTGTCTGTGAAAAGCTTTAAATAGTTACACGTTTTGCAAATAGAAGGCATTATTATTCCCATGCGAAAGTGATAAACCTGGCTTCCTGTCGTGAACTGAATGCAGTATGAAATGTAAGCGTTTTGTGAAATGTAAACAAATATCAACTATTAAAGCACTGTGGTCGAGACAGAGCTCCCCACTGCAAACAATTCGATATGAAATCAAGGTAGGTGTTCTAATGGGCTTGTTTTTCTTTACCATTCGTGGCTGGTTGATTTGGTTTTCGACAAAGATGGGAGGAAACGCTCCACACCAGAACCAGACTCACGCGATCTCGGGCAGGCCGCAATCAGGAGGAATGGTGACCCAAAGGGCAAGGGCCACCCGACATGCTCACCAAGAGCAGCGCCCCGTGCCCAGGTTCACTCCCGCTCCCAAAAGCCTCTGGCCTGTCTGCGTGCACCCACCTTTCACACGAGCCATGTGTCCACTGCCATTTCTTCTCAAGCAAAACCGGTCCAGACCCCTCTTGCCCTTCTCCCTCCCGCTTCCTCCCATACCACCTGCCTTTTGCCTCACCCATAGACATCTATACGCCTCTGAACTCGAAGACGATGCTGCCCGTGGCGCGCATTCCATGCAGGCAGGGAAAGAACCTTCACTCATCCCTGCAGCCCCGCAGCACCCTGGACATCAGGAATGAGCTTCACCAGATTACAAGTCTCCATTCTTATAAATGCATGTGGGCCCTAAAAGGGTCCCCCTGCGCCGAGCATGAATAAATAATCTCACCCTCCTAAGGAAGATTTCTCCACACAAATAAAGCAGTCCTATCAACATTTCTGATCACCAAACTGGTGTATTCAATCCCTCCCCGACCTGTGTCAGGATTCGCCCTGGAGGGTTCAGATAGCATGGACCAGAAAGAGGAGCCTAGGAGAGTCAGGGCGGCAAAGGAGCAAGATATGGTCTGTGGATTTTGAGTTCACAACAACTGAAAGCTACAAAAGTAATTTAGAGTTTGAGTTTGAAATTTCAGGCACTGTAAGCAGTAGCATCTACCCATGACACTCGCAGACACCCTCCCACCTCTTCCCCCACCTGCAGCCATGCATGGCCCGCCCTGCCCTCCCCCTGTCTTAACATATGTTCCCACTGCCCGCCTGTGGGCCCCCAATTTTCTGAAGCATATACTCCTACAAGCAAAAATGTCTAAGCACACAGGTCATGTATATTTATTTATAAATTATAAATTATATACATATACTATGGTAATAGTACATTGTACACATAATATACAAAGTTTGAAAAATGGAGTAAAAATAAGTATATGCGTTCTAATATTTTCTCGCTGCAACCCACTAGATTACTCTTTCCCTGTTTGTTCACCTTAAAAAAAAATCTGTTCTTTTGCTAAGTCTCAGCCCGAGGTCTATGTCTCAGTCCAGCCGTGCTGCTGTAACGAAATACCTTCAATGGGGTCATTTAGAAACAGCAAAAATGTGTTGCTCCTAGTTCTGGTGGATGGGACGTCCAAGATCAAGGTGCCGGCAGATCTGGTGTGTGGTGAGGGCCCATTCTTCATAGATGGCACCTTCTGTGAGTCCTCGAGTGGTGGAAGGGGTGAACAAGCTCCTCCGGCCTCTGTTATAAAGGCACTAATCCCACACATGAGGGAGAAGCCTCGTGACCTAATCCCCTCCTAGAAGCCCCATCGCTCAATACTATCAATACTATCACAGTGGAGTTATGTTTCAATTGAGGAGTTTCTGGGACACACAAACATTCACACAACAGCATTTGGCCTCCTCCATGAAGTCTCCCTTGATTGACCAAAGTACATTGAGCCCTCAGGAAGCCAGGAGACAGCAGGTCTACTCACATCTTCCTCTGTCTCCCTGGTATGGTTGTTAGCCCTGTGTGGCAACCGTGGGCACACCTGTCTTCCACCAGTTTGGCGACAAAGCCATGTCTTTATCTATGCCTAGTGCGTGGACGTCCTGAGTGCTCCATAAAAATGCACACAGGAGGAAAGAGTAGAAGGAGAGGGAAGGGAGGGAGCGAAGGAAGCGTCAGAGCCACCACCTCTGGGCCTGGGGGCCTCACTCTCCTCCACATCTAAAGCCTTTCTTGAAAAACTGCTTAGTTCAAGACGTGATTGTAAAACCACTCTCACTTGCTAATTGCTTCCACCACACATATTCTATCTTCTCCTTGGTCTCTATGTCTCCAAAAGGCGGGAACTGGGTCTCTGACTGTGCCAGTGCAGGGCAGATGTCTCACGAGTACACACTTGGCTCACGAGCTGCCTTTTACTGAGCACTCGCTGTGGTAGCTGGCCTGTCCCACCTGATCTGCATACATATGATCTTATCTAATCCTCTCAAAAACCTACAAGGTGGGCAAACAGCTATTTCAGAGGTGAACTGAGACCTAGAGAGTCAGTGACCTTCCCCAGGTTGCACAGCCTTCAAGGGGCCCGGCAGCACAGGGGCCCAGGAGGGACAGCTAGAAGGATAACTGAGCAACTGCCCATGGCAAGCCCTCAGGAGGCCTTTACCCGAATCGTCCCAAGGACACCACGGATGATGCAGTCACCCCGTGGCAGCTGACACACAGGCTGGCGCTGCAGCCTGGACGCTGCCTCCTCGGTGGGTCCAATGGGGACAGCTTCCTCCATGCAGATGGCAGAACAGAAGCCATTCCCTCAGACACATAAATGTGCCCCAGCTATAAAACTCCAACATACAATGTTACAGCAACCAAAGGATGAGGATTCACATTAGAGGGTAATGCACCAAGAGTCCATCAGATAACAACTGCTCCGCTTCATTCCAAGTTCAACTTTATCAGAAAACAAATGTCATGATTTTTCTGGACTAAATTTACTACATATAGCTAGTTGTAACTGTACATACACAACATTTATTATTTTTACATTACTCTTCAGATGAAAAAATGCAAAATCCCAGGACGTCTAGTTTAGAAGTAAACAATTTTGAATGTCATATTCAAACCCAATAGAAGGAAAGCTAAGTGTTTTAGGGGCACAATTTTTTAACATTTTTTTTGTAGAGATAGGGTCTTACTATGCTGCCCAGGCTGGTCTCAAACTCCAGCCTTGTGCCTGGCCTAGGGGTCAAGATTTATCTTCATAGCCAAAGTAGCAGAAAAACAAATGTTCAACCGAGCCAACCAACTGCCGACATTTCCTCAAGTCCTGCACACATTGTATCCAGAAGGCCTCCCGTCCCCACTAGGAAAGCAGGGACTGTGTTGCAGGAGCAAGCCAAACAGCAAGGTCAAATCAGACAGAAATCGGTCAGCTCTGCACACCTCAGCCAGTAACAAACACAAGGTGGATTTGTCAGGCACCCAAAGCCCTCTGGGTCAATGGCAAGCACCCTCACAGTGACATCAGAGCCACCACCTCACTGAGGAAAATGGAGAACCGCCAAGGACTGTGGCAGAGGCGTACTCCCCAAAAGACACTGAGGGACCCCACCGGCCAGACCACTGGAGGACTGCCACCCCATTAGCAGCCTTCAGCACACTCCATCTCCACTCCGCAGGCCTCATACCATCTCCAGCCTTTTGGAATCCATCTCCAAGGCCTCAGCACTGCCACAGGTGAGGGCAGGTGTGCACCTGGGACAGAGTGTGGTGCTGATGGCAGGCCAAGCAGAGCTGAGAAGGACCCAGTCTGCAGTCTCAACCCAGGGAGATGGGGCACAGCATCACCAGCTGAGCTTCTGCCGTCTGCACCTGCAGTACCTGGGCTCACGCACCTAGGCACCTCCTTGAAAGCTTTGGTACAAAACACAGAACTGTGCTGATACGTTCAGGCTCTGTGTCCCCACTCAAATCTCACCTTGAATTGTAATCCAAATTGTAATCCCCATGTGTTGGGGGAGGGACCTCATGGGAAGGGAATAGATCATGAGAGTGGTTCCCCCGTGCTGTTCTCATGATAGTGAGTTCTCACGAGATCTGATGGTTTTATAAAGGGCTTTTCCTTCCTTCACTCTGCACTTCACTCTCTTGCTGCCAAGTGAAGTAGGACATGTTTGCTTCCACTTCCGCCATGACTGTAAGTGTCCCAAGGCCTCCTCAGCCACGTGGAACTGTGAGTCAATTAAACCTCTTTCCTTTATAAATTACCCAGTCTCGGGTATTTCTTCATAGCAGCATGAGAACGGACTAATACATGGGCCCACCAGGTCCTGTGGGACCCACTCACTGTCCACCAGGCAATGCCAGGTGGAAGTGCACCCCCAGCATACACCAAAGAGCAGGTGAGCACCTTGCACAGTACATGAGGGTCTCCCCACCTGATGTGCTCAGGTGCCTGTGAACAAAACCACACCGATCATGACCAGCCCTAGAGAAAGTGGTGCCATCTTGCTCCCTCCAGCACGGTAAGCACCCTCCATTCCAGCTGCTTCCAACCCCTCAATGAAAGACTGTCTTTAATTAGTTCATCACCACCTAGTAAAGTGATTTTTTCATCTCTCTCAAGCTTTAGGAGCAACAGCTTAAGAGGTCAGGCACTGTTCATAGTTGTTGCAACTCTGGAAGGGCTGATGCCTTGGAGGAAAGCAGAAAACTTTAGCACATTTGCAGAGGATGTGGAGGTCCTCCACAGACGACACAAGAATGGAGTATGGAGGATCATGAATTTTCTGTCTGCCCATCATGAATTTTCTGTCTGCATCCTTAGGGGCAAGACTAGCAAAGAGTGTGAGGTCCAATAGGGATCATTTGAAATGAAGAGAAGCGACTGAACAAGGTATGGTGGGGCTATCCAGACAGCCAGGTGCTGACTCCACCCCCTCCTGGCCCTCATTCTCCATTGCAAGTTCAAGGCTACCCCTAAAGAGGGAGGATGAGGAGGCTGGGGGAAGACCAAGAGCAGTCTATGCCCATCGTATCCTATAATTTGTTTAAAAGACATGTTATTAGAATGTTTATTGCCCTGAACCTACCTGAGTAGAATTTAATTCTATTTTATTTTATTTTATTTTATTTTATTTTATTTTATTTTATTTTATTCAAATTTTAAAAAGCACAAAGGTCTTACCCCACCTACTGAGATCATCCACTGACATTATGATGTTTGGCCTTAACAAAATTCTAGCAAACAGCAAAACTCTTTTCATCGATAAGCCAGATGACACAAAGTCAGATTTTCAAAATAAAAAGATAGGAAAGAAAATTTAAACGTCATGTGCCCATATCATTTACTGCCAAATTTGCAAAGGTTTTTTAAATAATATTCGGCATTGACAAGGGTGCAGTCACCCTCTTCTCTGTGGGAATCTAAGTTGCCTCTCCCATTCTGAAAGCCCCATCTGGCAATATTTTTGGAGGACCCTTAAAAGTCTTATAGCCCCCAATTTCCCTTTTAAGAATCTACCCAAACAATGTTTTAAAAAATGTTCAGGCCAAGCACAGGGGCTCACGCCTGTAATCCTAGCACCCTGGGAGGCCAAGGCGGGAAGATTGCTTCAGCCCGGGAATTTGAGACCAGCCTGGGCAACATGGCGAAACCCGGTCTCTACAAAAAAAAAAAAAAAAAAAAAGCAAGGCATGGCAGCATCTGTAGTCCCAGATACTTAGGAGGCTGAGGGCAGAGGATGCCACAAGCCTGAGAAATGGCGGTTGCAATGAGCCGAGATCACACCACTGCACTCCAGCCTGGACAACAGAGCAAGACCCCATCTCCATTTTTTTAAATTATCAAGTTATGTAATAAATTTCTAAAAAAAAAGTTTAAAGACGTTCAATGCAATCATATTTATAACAGAGAAAACCGGTAACAGCCTCAATGTCCTAAAACTGGTTTTAAAAAAATAACAATATAACCATAGAATAGAATATTATACAATCTAGAAGTAGGATTTTTGGAGAATATTTAAATCACATGAAAAATATTCATGAAAGAATGCTAAGCTTCCTAAAAAGTACATAAATGACTTTATAATTAATTAATAAACCTGGAATCTACTAACCTACTAATCATCTCTAGCAGTGAGATCATAGATAATTTCAGTGATTTTTATTTTCTTCCTTCTTTCCCTATTTCCTAATTCTCTTCAGTACACATGTATCAGGAAAAGAAAACGTTATTTGTCCCACAGATGCTGCTAGGAGCAGCTACCCCAAGACAGGCCTTGCACCTTGGGTCATGACAATGCGTGGCTACTGAGAGCTGTTGACAGAGTGGACAGGGCCCAGACCAGGACAGTCTCTCTAGAGGTCTTCACCTCCTCAACCGTAACTTAATCAGCCCCATGCCGGGCTAGCCCCATGCCACAAAGGCTCAGAAATGCCCTGCAACATGTGGGACACCTGGTAGTATCTACATAGGGGTCAGCATCCATCCCAGCTGCTGGGGGTGGCTCAAGAGCTGTGAGGGACACCCTTTCCTGCCTGATACCGTGGACCAGTTTGCAAAGAGCTGACTGTCCTGCTAGGCCCATGATATGTGCATCTCTTGGGTACTCCCTTTAGGTCCCACAATCTCAAAGATTTAGCTTGTCCAAGGTGGACAACATTTCATAGGACGTACACGTCAATATGCATGATTCATTTACCTATACCTCATGGAGCAAAACAGAGACTCTTGGCCTGGCGCAGTGGCTCACACCTGTAATCCCAGCACTTTGGGAGGCTGAGGCGGGCGGATCACTTGAGGTGAGGAGTGAGAAACCAGCCTGGCCAACATGACGAAACCCCGTCTCTACTAAAAATACATAAAATAGCTAGGTGTAGTGGTGCATGCCTGTAATCCCAGCTACTCAATTTAGGAGGTTGAGGTACAAGAATCGCTTGAACCTGGGACGGAGGTTGCAGTGAGCTGAGATGGATCACGCCACTGCACTCCAGCCTGGGTAATAAAGGGAGACTCTATCTAAGAAAAAAAAAAAAAAGAGAGACTCTTAAAGATGGGATAACTTTTTTTCATTTTTAAAGAAACTGTAGGCCAGATGCAGTGGCTCATGCCTGTAATCTCAGCACTTTGGGAGGCCAAGACGGGCGGATCATGAGGTCAGGAGATCAAGACCATCCTGGCTAACACGCTGAAACCCCGTCTCTACTAAAAATATGAAAAAATTAGCCGGGCGTGGTGGCACGTGCCTGTAATCCCAGCTACTCGGGAAGCTGAGGCAGGAGAATGGCATGAACCCTGGAGGCAGAGCTTACAGTGGGCCGAGATTGCGCCACTGAACTCCAGCCTGGGCGACAGAGCGAGACTCCGTCTCAAAAAAAAAAAAAAAAAAAAAAAGAAAGAAAGAAAGAAACTATAGTGCTCTTTGTCCTGGGATGAACTGGATCCCTCCGAGTGAAGAGACAGCTGGTGGGGGCATTCCCAGCACACACCCCCAGACCCAGGCAGTTAGCTGCTCCCAGGAACCGGGCAGTCACACTCCACCAGGCTACACCCAGAGGTGCCATGGGGAGGCTGATGGAAGTGGTTTTAAGGACCAGTGCAGAAGAAATATCTGGCAATACCAGCACTCCTGCTGACTGTTGCTTTGTCTTTCTCTCAAGGAACTCAAGGGATAAGGTGGACAGAGACAAAGCTGCCATGGTCCAGTGCTCATAACTGAGGCTCTTGCCACAGGTAAAACAGGCAGAGAGCAGAGATTAGGATTAAAAACAGGGGAGGGAGTTGGGGAGGGAGGGCTACAGCACGGAGGCAAGAAGGACAAAACCCTGAACTTGCTGGCTGGATAGAGTCCCAGTGGGACCTGTATGGGGACAAGAAGAGAATGGCACCCTGCCAGTAAGTGGTCCCAGATGAAGAATCCCTGACCCAGGTCCCACCTCATTTAGCTCCAGAGGCAGATCCCAGAACCTGGAGCGATACTGCCCAGGCTGCTCCACCCTTTATTCACAAGTTGGTGACTCTGGGCAATGTCTTGACATCTCTGTAACATGCAGATGGCAGGAGGACCCATGTCACAGGGCCGCTGTGAGGATTAGATTAGTGAATCAGTGTATGGCAGCCCTCAGAACAGAGCCTGGCACACAGGAGAGGCTACAGAAGCACTTGGAGCTGCTGTTATTATTATCTGCCCACGTGCCCTGGTTAGAGGTCAGGGAGCCCTTCGGAAAGCAGCCTGGCCTCCTACAGCCTCTCCAGCGGCTGCCTTCGGAAGCAGAGAGACTTTCCAATGGAAATTCCCTTGCAGCTCTGTGCACAGGTTGCTGGCCCCTGGGGCCACGGACTCCGAGAACAATGCCTGGCTGTGCATTGCCGGCCCAGCCCTCTTCTGAAGAATCCCAGCAGCCAGGCCAGCAGTGTACCAGGAAGCCACACAGTGTGGCAAAAAGCCTGCCTGCCATTCTGCAAACCCCAGAGGCAGGAAGTCGAAGCACATCTGCAGAGGGTCCTCGCGACACCTGGCATGGAGGATGGCTAGCCAGTGTGAGTGGGAAGAATTTCTTTCTCTCAAGGCCTACTTTCAGGAGACTCTCTAGGTCCTTTTAGGAACAGAGCAGATGAGGGCAAACACACATCACTCACACCCACCCCCTTCCCTACCTTAACGCCACTCAGTCGTCCAGTCCCCAAGTCCCATCCACAAAGAGAAGAGCAAATCATTTGGCAGGGGCCCCTGGTATGAGGTGGCTTTGTAACATGAGCTGTGTGTCCGCAAACAACTAGGGCAAGACCATTAAGTTCATTACACCTGTCACTCTGCCAGCTGAGCTTCCAAATTGCCCAGATGAAAGTACATTATGCCCAAGGAGTGCCACCCAGGCCCTCCCAGGCCAGTACAGCCTTATCTATCGTAGACAATTTGTTCTCAGTGTCTGCACCTGCAGAAAGAACACAACTGTAAACAGCTTGAAACTTGGCTTTGAGATACTTTAGGCCCTGGGCAGCTAAGAACAAAGTTGAGGTCTCCTGGGAAGAAGCTAGGTGCCTGATTTCCCTGCTCAGAGGAAGAACGGGAGTGTGGACCAGAGGTGGGGCCAGGGCAGGGGAGGAGGCGGAGCAGCCTAGCAAAATAAAGGACACAGAGTTGCTCCTTGGATTCTACTGCCCTGCAGTAGAGCCAAAAATAAAAGCAAGGCACACCCTTTTCATTTCCGAACCGAGGCACAGAATTCTAGGCGGCAGGCAGAGGCCCTCTGCGCAGCTGCATGCACACCAGGCCCATGAGCGGCGCCCAGCCGGCCGCCGGCTGCAGAGTGCGTTTGCAGTGCAAGCGTGTTGCAGACAGCGGTAATTTATTTATCCCTGTCATGTAACATTAACAATCTGTCTGGAGCTTGGCAAGCACCAACTTGCACTGTCACATAAACTGTCTGACAAACTTAAAGTTTCGTAAATGCTTCTCTTTTTCCAGCAGACAATAAAGCATCCTTAAAAAAAAATAGTTGTCATCTTTTCTGTTCCTTTTCTCTCTTCCTCTTCCAAAAAAAAAAGGAAGAAAAAGAAAAAAAAACCAACAACAAAAGAACCCATGCAAACAGAAATGATCCCTCAGCAGGATCCTTAACCCTGAACAGCTCGACATTTTTCCGATGCCAAGTAAATGAGTAAATAAATGGATGGGGGGAGTGACGTTGTAGGAGACGGTTGAGAAGGGGGTACAGAGGAAAATCTGCAAAACAAAAGTACAGTCATTAAAAATTAATAAAGGGTGTGGACATCCAGACCCCACCCCCGTCTGCTCATGGGGATTGAGCCAGACATTCTGTGTCCTCGTTAAGTGGAGTCTGGCAGGCTGCCGGAGTGTTAGTGGGTTCTGGGAATGCCAATATATTAACCAGAGGACTTTTTGCATACCCTTTAGAGTTTTTATTCTAGAAAAGTCAACCATTTGGCACAGTGCAGCATTATTTTTGTCCGGGAAAGCTCGCAGCTGCCAATCAAGGGAGAAATTATATCTATGTTCTTTGTAATCTCCAAGACCTATCTGGAAAACAAGCTTGGTGGAAAGAAAAGTCTTCACAAAAACAGCTTAAAAGGCCAAAGTACCATTTTTAGTGAGAACTCAAAAGAAAAGCAATCCATTCTTAAATCACATGGATATGTGACAATACAGACATCATTTTCAATTCCTCCTGTGATGGAAAAAAATGACATTAACTGAAAATTCAAACCCAATATTTTCAGCATAATTAATAGTACAGGTACTAGCTTCAGTCCTTTCTCTGCCTAACAATGAAGCAAACAATGCCCCCCAAAAAATGTCCCTAAAAAGTGGCAGGTCTTGTGGCCTAAATTTTCAAATAGTAGACAGAACCTTTGCATTCCTATTTTGAAACTTAAGACTCATCTTCCATGTACACCCGTAATATAGGTCAAGATGTAATTCTAAACTAACACAGTTCATATAGGCAGAAAGTCTCTTTGACATCAGAAAATAATGGCTTCCAGGAGATTTTTTTCTGAGACCTAAAAAAAGGAAGGAACAGAGGGAGAGAGGGAAGGAGACAGAGAGGAAGGAAGAAAGAAAAGAATAATTTTGGACTACATAGCAATTTTGCCGCTATTCATATTTAATATCCATGTGCCGCTATACATTCTGTTAACTATTTCCAAAAATTTTTCCAGGTTAATATGGTGCGCTCTTCTTTTACAATGTTTTATCACTTCTTGAGGGATAACATTTTTCCTTCTCTACTAACTCTTACACAGGAAGAAGGACACATCATAGAGACTGGATAAGCCCAGATTCCAAAGAAAGATGAGAAGAAACATGGCAAGGACTACCAGAAAGATCAGAGCAGTCTACAATTTCAAGAATTCCTGCCCAGGGCCCTGAGGTGGCTTTGGTTTTACGTGATGACGTAGAGCAGTCACCTCCCACCCACCACAAGGAGACTTTATGCTGGCTACATGCAGAGACGTCAGGAGCTCAGGGATCTCTGCTGGACTGCCTGCCAGAAACCATGCACAAGGAGCAAAAGTCACTCTCCTCTGACTGTGCTTCCCTATCAGTCAGGGAGGTTACCCCTGCAGCAGCCCAGAGCAAAAACAGAGAGCGTCCCAGGAGCTATGAGGCTGGTCTGCCAGGCTGCTAAGTCAACCAAGACTACAGCACAGTCCCAAACTGTAAACACCTCTGCAGACGGGCCCTTGCTCTCCGCGTGCCAGGCAAGAAAACTATTCTTAGAACACTGTCAGCAGTTGGGGGAAAATAAATATTTGTCTATGTATGTATATACTCCAGTGGGAGTAGGGTGGGGTGCAGGAGTCTCAAATAATGTGCCAACAAATTGGCACAAAATCCCTTAATAAGCAGCTGGCACTGGCTGCGTTCCACTGCAGGATTGTGGTCTTGCAAACCAAGCCCATGAGAGGATTCAAGAGACAGCCCTAAAAACCTGCCGGGAAGAGTCTTCTCCAATGTAAATACAAACCTACACGAACCAGGACCATGGCCAACAATGGCAAGCCCTTCCAAGGGTAACAGCAGAATGTTAAGAAATTAGAGAGGTCATTTAAAACAAGGGAGGAAGGTAGCTACAATTCCATTACAGCAAATCCCTTACTGGCATTTACATTCCCAGCCCTAATTCCTAACACTGTGTTCAATGTCAATAGCAAAATGAAGCTCTTAAAAAGAATTAAGCTTTCAAAGATCATAAGGAAGTTAGCCCCCTGTTTTAAAAAGCACTGCTTAGAAAGGTCCATCAAATAACATTTCAAGGGTTGATGGGAAACCAAATATAATTCAATAAATATACATGGGTAATACTCAGACATCCTCATTTGTCTATGTAATGACTCAGATTTGACACTCTGATCCTTGACTGAACACAAAGACTATATTCCAGAAGAATTGTGCAGAGTACAAAGGGAGAGTTACAGATGACAACACACTCGAGTTAAAGACTAGAAAAGACAATACCATATACAGAATGCAGACATGACTTGATGCAATGGCAGTCTCCCTGTGCAGACTTTGCAGAACCTTCTCTGTCATTCAATACTCAGTCCTGAAGCTCCAGGGAAGATACAGAGAGGAGGATGCCATTCTTGGCTAGCCAAACCGGCAGAAAGGGCCGTTTTTAAAAGGAAGCTTCCCAGCACTAGCCCTTCGAGAAGGCACCAACCTCCTTACCAGCCATAGGACCCTATTTTTGAGAGTCAATGCTGCTCACCATCTCTATCCACCTCTACTGCAAATAACTTACTAATACTAGCGCTCAGAACCCACATTCTGTGCAGCTACTCTTACCTCACATCCTACAATGCCTAACACATAGTAGGCCCTCAATAAATATGTATTGCAATGGTAATTAACATTTAGAAAGCAGCGCTGGTCCGGGGATGAGAAGATGCCAAAATAATTAGAAAAGAGAAAAAGAGAAGGGAATAGACCAAGACACAGAGGAAAAGAAAAGAAGCAAATCAAAATTATCTAATTCTAGCTAATTAAAAAATTTTGGGGGAAAAACAAAAATCATGCTAGTTCATGCGGCTATGGGCACACAGCAACCATTCCTGTGCCTGGGCAGAGCTAAGGAGTCCTGCTTGCTTTAAAGAGCTTCTAGCTGCCCTGACTGGCGACGAGGTGTCCCTCCAGGTAGGTGACCCAAGAACGCTGTACTCTCGGATGCGCCTTCCCCCAGTGCCGCCCACCCACCATGCGTCCCTGTCGTCCTGAAAACCTCTGCCTCATCGGGAAACCTTCTCCTTTTCCAATTAAAAAAAAAAAAAAAAAAGTTTAAACAAGCAAATGCCCTCTCCGCCACGATAGCGATTTAACCTAAACCGAACCCACTGTCTTCCACCGGTGTACTCACAGGGCGCGCCCCCAGGCCCACCCGGGGCGGCGCACCGGGAAGGGGTCCCGAGGAAGCTTCCTAAAGGCTGTGCAGGGCAGACCCCTTCACAAAGGCAAGTGCCGGGCCGGGCTGGGTGCTTGTCGCTTCCTGTTTATTCCAAGGTGAGGGGCAGAGAGAAATTCAACACACGCCTGCTTCCTCCGGGGCTCGGAGACCCAGCCTAAGTGCAACAGCAGCAGCCCCAGACAATCGACTTCCCAGCCAATGCCGGGAGCTCCGGGCGGTCCCGCGACCGACGTCAACGCGCGCGGGGGGACCCGGGGGGACGCCGGGTGAAGCGGGCCCGAGGGGCCGGGGCCGGGGAGCGCGCGGTGCAGGATGCGGGACTGAGGGGCTGCGGGGCTTGGCCCGCCCCCTCCTTCCCGCAAACTCCCCGGTCAGGTCCTGCAGGATCTTCCCGCTTCCCGCTGACCTCCAGTCCCTGCCCGCCACGGCTCGCCGAGGCCTAGGGGCGCGGAGACAGTTGGGGCTGCCATCCGCGCGCCCATCCTGGCCTCCGGGCGGTGCAGAATTCAGTCTTGCAACCGCGGGACACCCTGCGCCCCAGGGCACCAGGAAACAGAAAACGGGGTGGGGGTCGGCGAAGTCCCTCCACCGGCGTAACCCCGCCCGCGGGCCAGCCCCGGATCCCCGCCGTGCCCACCGGCAAGCCCACCCGGACCAAGCCTCACAGACCTCGCGCGCTCGGCGCCCAGCTTCTCCCTCCGGCCCCAGCCGACGGCGCAGGCTCGCGGACGTCCAGTTCCCAAAGCGTCCGGTTCCCGAGTCCCCCGCCACCCCTCCCTCCGGAGCGCAGCGGTGAACTTGGGCCAGAAGCCCCGACCACTGCGGCCACCTCGGGTCCGCACTCACCTGGGCCGCCCCCCCGGAGCGGAGGCGGGGACTGCCCGCAGTGCGGCTCCGCGGCCACCGGCCCTGCTGGCCAGGGGGAGGGGCGCTGTGCGGGGCGCGGCAGGGGGCGCGCGGCGGGCCGGCGGGGAGCGCGGCGCGCCGGGGTTCTTTAAGAGCTGAGGACCTCACCCCCGGGCCTCCCCCGCGCTCCCCGCCCTGCTTCCACTTTCCCAGGCACCCGCAGCCTGTCTGGCTGCAGCGGCGGCAGCGGCTCAGTGGCTTGCAGGGGATCCCCGGCCGGCCGCGGCGGCGCGCGGAGCGGGCAGGGCCAACGCACTCGCCTGCTAATCCCGCCGGGCCCGGTCCGCAGCCTCAGCGCGGGGAGAGAGGGGACGCGGCGCTGCGGCCGCCGGGGAGGTGTCCCGCCTCCAGTCGCCGGAGGGGGGAGTGTCCCGCCTCCCGCCGCCGTCGCCGCCGTCTGTCTCCAGCCGTGACTGCGCGCCGCGGCTGTGTCTGTCTCCAACTCCTCCAGTCTCTCCTCCTCCTTCCCACTCCGCGGTGGGGACCCGGCGCGCGGCCAGGCCGCGGGTACCGGGGCCGCCGTGGCGGGGGCTCAGGGGTCCCCGGCTCACAGGCTGCGCCGACCCCTGCGGGGGGCGGGCCCGGAGGCCGGGGGTGGGCAGTGGGGGAGGCGCGCGGGCGCCGAGGCCGCGGGACCCGGGGCCGCACTCCCGCCCAGGGCTCGGGCCCGCGTGGCGCGCGCCCACCGCCGGCCGCACGGGGAACTCCAAGCCGAGCGCAGAGTACGCTGCAGGGGCGCCCGGAGGAGCCGGCTCGCTGCCCGCAGGCCGGGGGCGGTTTCGGGAGGCTGGGGGCGCGTTCCAGCACAGAGTACCTCGCGGGCTGCGTGTGCACCACGGGCCGCGGGACCTCGGGCAGCCGCCTAGAGACGTGCAGTCGGGCGGCAGGACACTTAGTAGGACGGAGCAGTGCTCGGCGAGCCTTGAGGAGCTTGAGGCGCCCCCGGACCCCACCTGGTCGCCCCCTTAGTATCCTGCCCTCTTTAAAGGAAATGGCTCCTGCCTAGAAGGTCAGATGGATTCTTCGCGCTGTGACCCTTTCTCCTTGAAGGACCTACACCTCCTGTGAAGACCATTTCGGACTTGACCTCCACCTGAGTGCAGACTTTGTTCAGAAGTACACGCATTGCCTCCAGCCACCCCTACCATGTTTGATGGGGGATTGGTTACTGCCAGAGCATATGAGCATTTTAACCCAATTTTATTGCAGTCACCAAAATTAGTTCGCCTCTGCCAAAATTAACCCCCCTGCAGACATATCAAAATACTACACTAAGCAGGGGTTTCAGGCTGGGTTTAAGATAGATGCAGCTGATTAAAGGAGTGAACATTTTCAACTGTCCCCACACACCCCCCAAAAAGTTGTCCAGTTCATATTTCCGTAATGTCAGAGAAATGAATCTTTTGAAACCTACGTTTTGTCTAATTTGTCAGTGACTTTTTAGTTAGTGAAATGTTGGCTGAATTCAGTTTCCCTTAAGCCCTCAGCTCTCAGCTATGGTGGTAATTGCCGCTAGCCTTTGATCAGTGCTCATATGTGATGTAATAATAACTACCATTCATGGAGCGCTTCTGTGCTAAGCGCTTTACATGGATTGTCTGATTGAGTCCTCACAATAACTGGGAGCTATTACTTCTCCATTTTACACATGACGAAGTTGAGGCTAGAAGGATTTAGTAATTTGTCCTCAGACCACAAAGAGATGGTTTTACATCCCTAACTAGCTGCATAGAAAGCTGGGAGCTGAACCAGCATGCCATACTGCCACCTACCTACAGCAGCGCTGACAGTTCTTCAGCTCAGCCCGCAAACCAGCCAGCATCTGCCCTGTGCCCGGCAATGAGCCCGCTCCAGCTGGGAATGCCCAGGTCCTGGTCTAACTGAGAAGCTTGTAGCAGGGGAACTTTGAACCTGGCTGCCTGGGTAAACTTTTTTAAATGAGCAATAAGCTGATAAGTGCTTCACACAGGTTATCCTAATCTGACAAGCATATACTTAGTTTATATTTAATGTCCACAAATGCAAAACTCACATGCTTTGGGGTTGGAGAAACTGTGCTCTTGCCCTCTTTAGGTAGAAAAAGAAATGACTTTTTCCATCTAAACGCCCCATGGACAATGAAGAAGAAAAGTTTTTCCAAAACCACAAAGCAATGCCTTCTATTTCACTTGCACATAATTTCTCTGTGTCTAACTTAACCGCCTTAAATTGAGGGCTGAATTTTAAAATCATAATCTCAATTTCTACCATTTGTGATGAATCTCAATCTCGTGTTGCCCTTTCTTATCTTATTTATAACTAGAAACTGCTGCGGCTCTGTATTTCTATCTCTAGAAAATATGGGAGGAACCTGTCCCTGTGTTTTCTTTTTTTTGTTTTGTTTTGTTTTGTTTTTTGAGGCGGAGTCTCGCTCTGTCGCCCAAGCTGGAGTGCAATGGCGTGATCTCGGCTCACTGCAAACCCCGCCTCCCAGGTTCATGCCATTCTCCTGCCTCAGCCTCCCGAGTAGCTGGGACTACAGGTGCCCGCCACCACGCCCAACTAATTTTTTGTATTTTTAATAGAGACGGGGTTTCACCGTGTCAGCCAGGATGGTCTCGATCTCCTGACCTCGTGATCCGCCCGCCTTGGCCTCCCAAAGTGCTGGGATTACAGGCGTGAGCCACCGTGCCCGGCCTGTCCCTGTGTTTCCTACTCAGTCCTCCCTGTATTTGTTTTCCACTTCAGCTATTCCCTCCCACACCCTTCCAGACACACACACTCTCCCTATAGCAATGCTAAGAGTTCGAGGTACTTAGATGTAAGTTTGCTCTCTGTAAAATGCAACATGATTCTACATCGGCTTCATCCTGACCATTCGCTCATTCCAAGGGCCCAGACTGAAGCGCAGCAGAGCGGAGACTTTGTTTTGCTCCGTTGGTGGAGAACTTGGACCCCAGTACACAGAATAGTGCCTGACACAAGGGGCTCAAAGGGTTTTTTGGAATGAATGGTACCTTAGTATTGGGATAGATGAGTAAACAATATTGAGATAAATATTACTAAAATTGGGTGGAAATCAACTGAAATTGGTTTCAAAGAGTGAGAGGTGAAAAAGATTATTTTTCACTGTCAATCCTTGCAGCCTGTCTCATGTCAATTATACCCTGGCCATACTTAGTCCATAGAAGTTTGCTAGTCAGTCATCTAAGGAGACATAAATAGAAAAGGGAAACATGAACGAATGTTGAGAAAAAGGGAATTTGAGGGCCAAGTGACCTCAAGTTGAATGTGAATTTGAGAACACAATTTTGTTTCTTGGATCTCATGCATAACATTTAAATGAAATTTATCCAATATGATTCATCCTATGCCTTGTACTCTTTAATTTAAATGAGAAATAGAAGGAAATGAGAAAGAGAAGCTTCATGTGGGTAATTCTGGTCCTGGAGAAGTGGGAGCCCCGCTCTAGATTCTCAGGACCAGAATCTACGATGAGCAGCCCCGGAGCAAGGGCTCTGTCCCTGAGCCTGGACGACTTCTCCTGCGCGTTTCGCCCCAACACGCAGCATCGCCACACCTCAGCGTCTATCTGTACACTGGAAGTAATAGTTACTACTTCATGGGGTCTTCTGTGACACTGGCCAAGTCCCCATCTGCATACCCATCCCCTCCCTGGGATCCTGTGGACCCCGCTGCTCCAGGACCCACCAACCTCATTCACTTCCTTTGGGATCAGGTTGAAAATCACACAGGATGGAAAGAGAAGTGTTCTGCAGGCAACTTCTGCTCTCAGCCTGGCTGCAGAGCTCTCTCCTTGGGCAAAAGCCACAGCACCTGCTCTCTCCTTAGGGGCCAGGGAGTGAAGACAAAGGGAAAACACAGCAAGAAAGAAAGAAATGTGTGACCTCAAAGACAATCCATCCAGACATATTTGTGTGTGGTATCTACACATTACATCGCTGAAAAATGATGAAGCGTTTCCTGAGCTGTGATACATGTACTGTCAGATCTCTTACAAATATTACAGTACCTAAAGTTTCCCCAGCCCTGCGCACACCTCCCGCATCTCAGTCTGTACAGCCACAGCTCTATCTGTCCTGTTGCCAAGGTGGCCCCCAAGTCCCCTGCACCCCACAGAGCATCCCAGGGTAGCTGAGTCTTCCCTGAGCTCTGGGTCTCTGAGGCTGCAGTGATGGCTGCTGGTTTGAGGTGGCCTCTGAGGCCTCCCTTCTGAATTCTCCATTTCTCTCTGACACATGGTTCAGTCAGCTGTCTACTGGGGTATAAATTGCCAGCAAGTTAAGTGTTGAGCAAGGTACCCGGCCCAAAAGGTAAATAAATAAATGTTTATTTACTTTTCAATAAATATTAGCTTCCTTCAGTCCTTTTCACTGCCTTACAAGCAAGGACAAGCTCTGGTGAGTTTATACTGTGTCAGCTGAGCCGTGCGGGTCCCATGCTTCCCAGAATTCCTTCCCTGCAAGGTTCCAGGTCCAGTTGGCCGCAGAGAAAGTTGTGTGAGATTTGGAAGGAGGAAGGCAAGTCGCCGTTTGCAGCGTCTTGTGGGGTTCCAGGTGCTGTGAAGCCCTCACACCTCCTTTACCTGAGGTCCCCTTGTCCCCACTGGGCCTCCCCCCGAAGCATCCCCAGTCCCGGGTGAGGAATGTGAGAAGGGCACCTGTGGAGAAGGGCACCCTCCTCGTCCTCAGGTCACCAGTATCCCTGAGGTTGAAGGAGTGTGAGACGGCCCAGGCTGCCCTGTCCTCAAGGGCTCCAGGTGTCCCCGTGAGTGTGGTTTGTCCTCACTCTGCCTGCGGGCCTGCCAGTCCCAGAGCCATGGCCTCCCACGGCTTCTCACCAGCCACAGCGGCCCATCATAAATCCCTGGTCCCAGGCTGCTTTCAGAGGCTCTGCTTTTTCATCAAACACTGACGGAGGCAGGATTGTGTGCCTCTGCATCTCCCTGTCCCGCTGGTGAGGGGTCGTTTGTAGAGAACATAGCAATGTGGCTTTCCTTACCGGAACGTGCTCCATAAGAAAAGGGCGAATTCCTTGAAAAGGTCCCTTACGGAAGAAGATACTTAAGTAGCCAACAAGCATGGGAAGAGGTACTCGCTCGGTTTGCACTGAACTCACGAAATAGCACACCCACTAGAATGGCTGAGGTTGGAAACAGTGACAATTGTAAACATTCACCAGGGTAAGGAGTCAGTAGAACCTGCATCCCAGCAATTCTCCTCCTGCGAGGGCACAAGAGGACTGAGGGCAGATGTCCAACAAATGGCACCCACGAGGAGCTTCATGCTGGCTTGCTCAAACGCAAGAGAAAAAAACTGGAAATAACCCGAATGTCCATCAGGGAAAAAAGATAAATAAATTTTGGTACACCCGTGTAATGGAAGATTACAGAGTAGTTTAAAAACCGTGAAACTAATGAGCAGTGATATTGAGCTTTTTAAAATATGTTTGTTGGCCACATGTGTTTTCTTTTGAGAAGTGTCTGCTCGTGTCCTTTGCCCACTTTTTAATTGGATTATTTATTTTTTTCTTGTAAATTTGCCACTATCCTCAGCAAACTAACACGGGAACAGAAAACCAAACACCTCATGTTCTCACTTATACGTGGGAGCTGAACAATGAGAACACATGGACACAGGGAGGGGAACAACACACACACTGGGGCCTGTCAGGGGAGAGCGGGTGGCGGTGGTGGGAAGAGCATCAGGTTAAATAGCTAATGCATGCCGGGCTTAATACCTAGGTGATGGGTTGATGGGTGGAGCAAACCATCATGGCACACATTTACCTATGTAACAAACCTGCACGTCCTGCACATGGACCCCGGAAATTAAAATAAAATAAAATTTTTTTAAACCCATGAAACTGCTGGCACACACAACATGGATAAATGCCACAAAAACTTATTTGAATGACAGAATTCAGGCTCAAAAGAATAGTAACATATGGTTTTATTTGTGTGATGTTCCAAAACAGGAGAAGCTAACCGATGATGATAGAAGTTAGATCCATGGTCACTCAGGATGGTAGTGGGTGGGAAGGGGCAAGAGAGCCCTTGGGGGAGAGGGAAATGATCTGTCTTCATCTAGTGTGGTTGCAGGGGTATATGCATATGTAAAAATTCATTAGCTTTATGCTAGTGAATTCATTAGCTGTGTGTAAACGTCATACACATTTATATTATAACACCACATTTTTAAGGTTTTGCAAAAAGGGAACTCTTGGATGTGGGAGGACTTTGTAAGGCGGGGTCACTCAGCAGCAGAGCCAGCTCTCTCAGGCGGGGAAAAGCAGAGAGGCAGTCTGCCCACTGGATTAGACTCCCCAGACACCTCGCAGGCCTCCTCCCTCCACAGGAAAGGGCTCAGCTCACTCCCCTGGGCTGAATGAAGTGCCGCTGAGGAGTGCCTGAAGCTCATTGCCTGCAGACACTCACGCTGCACTGAGGCTTTAAACAGCTCATTTCCACTCCATTCCTTGACACGCCTTTGGAAGCTGCCTTTGGCATTCTTTTTTTTTTTTTTTAATTATACTTTAAGTTCTAGGGTACATGTGCACAAAACGCAGGTTTGTTACATATGTATACATGTGCCACGTTGGTGTGCTGCACCAGTTAACTCATTATTTACATTAGGTATATCTCCTTATGCTATCCCTCCCCACTCCTCCTCCCCCACGACAGGCCCCGGTGTGTGATGTTCCCCACCCTGTGTCCAAGTGTTCTCATTGTTCAGTTCCCACCTATGAGTGAGAACATGCAGTGTTTGGTTTTCTGTCCTTGCGATAGTTTGCTCAGAATGATGCTTTCCAGTTTCATTCATGTCCCTACAAAGGACATGAACTCATCATTTTTTATGGCTGCATAGTATTCCATGGTGTATATGTGCCACATTTTCTTCATCCAGTCTATCATTGATGGACATTTGGGTTTGTTCCAAGTCTTTGCTATTGTGAATAGTGCCGCTATAAATATACATGTGCATGTGTCTTTATAGCAGCATGATTTATAATCCTTTGGGTATATGCCCAGTAATGGGATTGCTGAGTCAAATGGTATTTCTAGTTCTAGATCCTTGAGGAATTGCCACACTGTCTTCCACAATGGTAGTTCAACCATTTACACTCCCACCAACAGTGTAAAAGCATTCCTATTTCTCCACATCCTCTCCAGCACCTGTTGTTTCCCGACTTTTTAATGATCGCCATTCTAACTGGTGTGAGATGGTATCTCATTGTGGTTTTGATTTGCATTTCTCTGATGGCCAGTGATGATGAGCATTTTTTTCATGTGTCTGTTGGCTGCATAAGTGTCTTCTTTTGAGAAGTGTCTGTTCATATCCTTTGCCCACTTGTTGATGGGGTTGTTTGTTTCTTTCTTGTAAATTTGTTTAAGTTCTTTGTAGATTCTACATATTAGCCCTTTGTCAGATGGGTAGATTGTAAAAATTTTCTCCCATTCTGTAGGTTGCCTGTTCACTCTGATGGTAGTTTCTTTTGCTGTGCTGAAGCTCTTTAGTTAATTAGATCCCATTTGTCAATTTTGCCTTTTGTTGCCATTGCTTTTGGTGTTTTAGTTATGAAGTCCTTGCCCATGCCTATGTCCTGAATGGTATTGCCTAGGTTTTCTTCTAGGGTTTTTATGGTTTTAGGTCTAACATTTAAGTATTTAATCCATCTTGAATTAATTTTTGTATAAGATGTAAGGAAGGGATCCAGTTTCAGCCTTCTACATATGGCTAGCCAGTTTTCCTAGCACCATTTATTAAATAGGAAATCCTTTCCCCATTTCTTGTTTTTGTCAGGTTTGTCAAAGGCTCTATTCTGTTCCATTGGTCTATATCTCTGTTTTGGTACCATTACCATGCTGTTTTGGTTACTATAGCCTTGTAGTATAATTTGAAGCCGGGTAGCATGATGCTTCCAGCTTTGCTCTTTTGGCTTAGGATTGTCTTGGCAATGTGGGCTCTTTTTTGGTTCCATATGAACTTTAAAGTAGTTTTTTCCAATTCTGTGAAGAAAGTCATTGGTAGCTTGATGGGGATGGCATTGAATCTCTAAATTACCTTGGGCATTATGGCCATTTTCACAGTATTGATTCTTCCTATCCATGAGCATGGAATGTTCTTCCATTTGTTTGTGTCCTCTTTTATTTCATTGAGCAGTGGTTTGTAGTTCTCCTTGAAGAGGTCCTTCACATCCCTTGGTAAGTTGGATTCCTAGGTAATAATACCATACATCTACAACCATCTGATCTTTGGCATTCTTTAACCTCATTCCACCTGGAAAGGTGGGGACGCATAGTGAGACTTTAGGCCTGGGTCACAGATTCTGCCTCAGGAATTTCTCTGCTCTGTCCAGTTCAGCCTGCAAGACTTAAGAACCTCATGTTTCGTTTAAAGTTTGAATTATTTGTTGGGCAGTCCGTTAGATGGCAATGATTAAATTAAATGCTTGAAGTAAAAAGGGTAAAGTGCTGTTGGTAGGAGTGTACGTTAGTTCAGCCATCGTGGAAGACAGTGTGGCGATTCCTCAAAGACCTAAAGACAGAAATACCATTCAACCCAGCAATCCCATTACTGGACATATACACAAAGGAGTATAAATCATTCTATTATAAAGGCACATACATATGTATGTTCATTGCAGCACCATTCATAATAGCAAAGACATGGAGTCAACCTAAATACCCATCAATAGTAGGCTGGACAAAGAAAATGTGGTACATATACACCACAGAATACTGTGCAGCTGTAAAAAATGAGATCATGTCCTTTGCAGGATGTGGATGGAGCTGGAGGCTATCATTCTTAACAAACTAACACAGAAACAGAAAACCAAATACTGAATGTTCTCACTTATAAGTCGAAGCTAAATGATGAGAACATATGGACACAGTGGGGAACAGCACACATGAGGGCCTTTCGGAGAGTGGAGGCTGGGAGGAGGGAGAGGATCAGGAAAAACAACGAATGCATGCTGGGCTTAGTATCTGCATCATGAAATAAACTGTACAAGAAACCCCTATGACACAAGTTTACCTATGTACCAAACATGTACTCGTACCACTAAACCAAAAATAAAAGTTTTTTAAAAGTATGAAGTGCCTACGTAAGTAAATGTGTGGATATGTTACATTTCTTATCAGTGCTGCTGATGTGTGTGTGCTGATTCTGTCAGTCCATTCCTGCTGCTATGACAAAATCCCTTAGACTAGGTAATTTATAAACAACAGAAATGTACTTCTTACAGTTCTGGAGGTGGGGAAATCCTAGAAAAGGAGAGACATAGACCAGGTGATCTCAGAGGCCCTTTAAGACCTTCTGCTCGTTCATTCAGCAAATACTTATGGAGGTCTTACTGTGCACCGGGCCTGTGCAATGTGTTGGGATGCAGCTGTGAACCAAAGCCCCTGCTTCACTGGGCTTACATTTTACATGGGATGTGAACTTCTGGTAGCCAACACAGAAAAAAAGAAGTTTCAGCAAAGAATGTTCCATTTAGAAGTCAGTAGGTGTTCCAGACTGCCTCAGTCCCTACCAGCTTCATCCTGCCTTTTCTAGGTAAAATCTCAAATCAGGGCCCATGTCTCCAGGACCACAAAGTCTTCACCCACGAAAGACAGAGGAAAGCCCAAACAGCCAAGTGGGATTTGGAGAAACAAGTCCTGGAGGAAAGGGTAGGAATCACACGGCTCGTACTATCTCAGCTTTTTGGGCAGAAGCCTCCCTTCAATTCACTTGGCCACTGAAGGTGTGATAAAAACATTTAGAAGCAAGGCCAACCCTCAATCAGGCCAAAATTGTGAAGCAGGCAACTTATTCTGAGTTAGCTGCCAGCTAATCTCAATTAAAGCACAAGCCAATAGCTTGACATTCTTATACATTTTAGACTCTCAAGGGACGTGCCCTCAAGGTGAAGCCATCTCAGAAATGTCTCTAGTACCTCCTTGCCAAGCAGATTTCCAACTCTCCCGGAGCTCATGCTTGCCCAGGCAGCCCACACTAAATGGGGACCATGCTGAGTTACAGGAGTTTATTCCCGCACTGAGCTGAGACCTGGGTTCAGCAGGTGGCCTCCTGCAGCCCAGGTTCAGCTGTCCTGTGCATGCAGAGCTGCCAGCGTCCTCTGCAGAAGATCACTATTTGAAGCAGCTCTCTCCCACGCTTTCCTTCTCCAAGCAGACAGCCGTGGTACTTCCAACCATTTTTCATGTGCTGTATTCTTGAGTCCTCTGTCATTCCTCTGGACACTTCCAGTTGACCCTGGAGGGTGGTGGCCAACAGTAAGTACAATGCCACATGTGGTTTTTTTCTAGTTAGACCAGGTTGGTCACCTCCCTGCCAGGGCAGATGGGGCAGTACAAACTAATATTGCAAGAGTTCATTTTAGCCACCTATCGCAAATTGCCTACAACTTCATATCTAAAACCCCGAAGTTCTGTTTCAACAAGATTCTTTGAAATGCAAGTGGTGAGACACAACTCAGATCGACACTGGAAAGGGAGTATCTTGGCTCACTTTATCTGTGAAGTTCAAGGGGTGGATGTGGCTTTAGGCAGGTCTGAAGCCCGTTTCGAATGAAGGTTTTTGTGGCTTTGTCTGTCTCTCTCTCCATTCCCGCTCTGCTGCCTCAGTTGAGTCTGATTCTCAGCTAGGGCCTCTCCATAGGGCAGCAGTGGCCCCAGGTGCTCCAGTCTCCCATCCTGTCTAGTGGCCCCAATGAAAAAGTGTGTCTTTCCCAAGAAGGCTGGCAGAAAGGTCCTGGGAGAACACTGGTCTGGGTCAATCCCACATTCCCCTGAGATCCCAACACCAAAGCAAAAACACAAGTGGGCTAATGGATTAGGGCCAAGTCTGGGTCTTCTGCATGTGTCTTTGGCCTCACCTTGCACAGTCTCCTGGGTTCAGTAGACTGCTTTACTCAAGGGACAGGGAAGCTTTAAGAAGCTGAAGCCAGTGTGCCTTCTGGCAACTGGCTGGCCCTGAAATACAGCTGTGTCCTTTAATAAAAGAAAGGTCTTTTTTTTTAAATCTGGGGGCAGGACTTCTCTGATGCAAACCATTTCAAAACCGTCCTATGTCCACTACACTTTGATAGTAGGGGTAGCATGATGCTATTTGGAAAATTATATAAAAGCAAGGAGAAAAAGGCCCTGTAGGTGTCCGGGGTATTGATGTCCAGCTGCCCAGGAATTCCAGGAGCTTCTAGAAAGATGTTTCCTGAGGATTTGTTGTAGTCAATGTATAAAGACATTAAAAATCAGAGTAAATCATTGGTTCACAGGCATGAGTAGACACATGACCTACATAAAAATTAAACAAACATATAAAACATCACAGGTATGGACGACACATCAGTCCCCGCATGCCATGAAGCCAGGGTTTTCCAGCAACTGGGGACTTGCCTACAGCAGAAAATCCCCGAGAGAGTCCTCCTCAATTAGGAGGGCGGAGGAGGAGAGAGGCTAAGAAAAGCGTCACAGGCCCAGAGATTAAATCCTTCCCATAGACCACAAAAGAGAGGCCAATTACAGGAAAATTTCATCTTAATGGCCGCTCTGATTGAATATTATCACTGCTGACTGTGAGTAACTCAGTATGTGTGAGTTAAGCCCTCTGCTTCACAGAAGAGAATACCCTCTGCCAATGAGCTGTGGCTTCAGGCTGTGTGATCTGTGCAAATGTATTGTAATTAATTGAGCTTTAAAAATTGACTTTGAAGGTCTCAAGGTCTTGGAAATGGCTGTTGGCTTGGAAAAAGGCATCTTCTGAGAAGGTGATCGAAGGTACTTAACTGACACGAAGCATCTCTAAATTTATTTATTTGGAGGGGGTAATTTTATTTAAAAAAAAATCTTTGTGTTCAAAATGGATAAAATTTACAATTTTAAAACATATTTTAGTATTAGAACAAAATAAAGAGCGGCTTAGTAAAGTTGGAGTTGAATGAGAACATCGGTGTGAGTTCACACACTTTAAAAGGGTTTCCGATTCTGTCACCGGAGCATGGACAGCCCCTGCTTCCCTCATTACATGTGTGTAGCCTGGACTCAGAGGGAAGCCCAAGGCCTTCAGAGAGAGAGCCCTGGATTTCAGCCTCTAATGCTCCTCTCCACAAACAGTGGCCAGAAATCCTTGGAAAGTCGCTGCTTCCATGGTGAAAACGGCGAAAATCAAGATGGGCGCAGCACATCTTGTGGTTGCCAGAGAATGTTTTTCAAAATATGTGAGATCTTGCTAAATAAAACAAAGAACCCCCACTAGCCAAAGTGATGTTTTGCATATCAAAAATAAAGTGCCCATCACAGTCCAGTGGAGCACATGAAGCCTTGAAGAGGTCCCAGTAACCCTACGAGAAAGGAGTCAGTCTCAGCTAAACCCAAGGGAACAATCTCAAATGATATGCAGAAACAAAGATATCACTAGAGTAAGCTGAAAAAATCAGTGTTCATGTCCTTTGTTCATTTTAAGACAAAATGTATTTTTTAAGACATTGGCAATGTAGAGATGAAGCGATCCAAACACTAGGGGAAGCATAAGTGTAGAAAATATTAGCTAAGTGAACCCTCATGAACAATTGCTCTTACCATGTGACCCAGCACTCATGCTCCATGGCGTTTGCCCGGAGCATGTGGATGCTTATAGCAGCTTTTTTCATAATTGCAGAAACTTGGAAGCAACCCAGATGTCTTCAGTAGGTGAATGGATAAATAAACTGTGGTGCATCCCAATATTGGAATATGATTCAGCACTAAAAAGAAATGAGCTATCAAGCCATGAAAAGATATGGAGGAAATTTAAATGCACATTATTTAAGTTAAGGAAGACAATCTGAAAAGGCTACACCCTGTATGAGTCCAACTCTATGACACCCTGGAAAAGGCAAAACTACGGAGACAATAAAAAGATCAGGGGTTGCCAAGGGTTGGATGTTGGGGAGGGATGAATAGATAGAACATAGAGGATTCTTCAGACAGTGAAACTACTCTGTCTGATACTATAATGGTGGATACACAGTATTATACAATCATCCAAACCCGTAGAATGTACAACACCAAGACTGAACCTCCAACTCCTGGGCTCAAGTGATCCTCTGCCTCAGCCTCCCGAGTAGCTGAAACTATTGGTGCACACGACCACATCTGGCCAATTTTTAAAAAATTACTATAGAGGCAGGATCTCACTATGTTGCCCAGGATAGTCTCAAACTCCTGGCCTCAAGCCATCCTCCTGCCTCAACCTTCAAAAGTGCTGGGATTGCCACCACCCAGGCTCGCCCCTGGTCCTTAGTTGGCAATAAAGTATCACTCTTGGCTCATCAGTTGCAACATCAGCATATCACAGTAATGCAAGAGGTTTACAGTGCAGGACATAGGGACTTGGTGAGGGGACATGAGAATCCTCTGCACATTCTGTTCAATTTGTCTCAAAATAAAATATATTCATTAAAATAAAACTACTAATTTCTTATCAACTCATCTCATAAAATGGACTGATGGGAGACTAAGTCAGTATCCTATTAGCAGACACAACCAGAAATTAAGAGTGGTCCCATGTCAAAGAGGTTTGCCCAAGCATTGCAGATACAGGACTGAACAGACTGCCATCCTGGCCGTCTCGAATGTCAATGTTAGTAATAGTTATTTTATTATGATGTTGAACTCATCATTTATAATGCCATATTTGTTGCTTCAGTTATCACATTTAACCTGTCACAAGCTTAAAAATACATATTCTTTAAAAAGATAGTTTGTGGATCAAGAACTCCCAGTTAAGCCTACTAGATGAGCTGTGTGTGTTTGTTGCTCTCCCTTCAAAAAAACTGCTAAAATAATAATTGAAAAGATACAAACCCACTTGTCGAAGGGAGAAGAGACCAACGGCAGACATAAGATTCCAGACGATTTTTGGAGAGTGGAAAGAGCACGCAGTTGACTTAGAAAAGCATCCCGGGCCGGGCATGGTGGCTCACGCCAGTAATCCCAGCACTTTGGGAGGCCAAGGCAGGAGGACTGCTTGAGGTCAGGAGTTCGAAACCAGCCTGGCCAACATGGCAAAACCCCATCTCTACTAAAAATACAAAAAAAAAAAAAAAATTAGCTGGGCATGGTGGCAGGTGGCAGGTGCCTATAATCCCAGCTACTCGGGAGGCTGAGGCAGGAGAATTGCTTGAGCCTGGGAGGTGGACGTTGCAGTGAGCCGAGGTCGTGCCACTGCACTCCAGCCTGGGTGACAGAGTGCGACTCCATCTCTAAAAAAGAAAAAGAAAAGAAAAGCACCATGGAGGTGGATAATATTTAGATCATGGTGTGAGTTGACCCTCCCTGCAAACCCCTGAGAGGCAGCTGGAATGAGGAGATGTGAGATGGGGCAGGAGCTACTCAGAGAGTGATGTGGCCACTGGGCCCCTTCCCCGTGAGCAGCCAAGAGACCTCCCCCCCACCACGTTCTCTCTCTCTCTCTGGAGACCAAGGGTCATCTTCCAGAGATGCAGCTTCCCAGAGGCTCTAGATCAGGGCACCAAATGAAGCAGTACTAAGGTGGGAAGACAAAGCACCTGACCGTGGGGCCTTCTGCCCTGCTCTCAATCAGCTCTTCAGCAAATATGTATCGAGTGCAACTTTGTACCAGGTACTCTTTCAGGGGATTTGATGGTGAACCAAACAGGCAGAGTCTCTGATCTCATGGAGCCTGCATCCCAGTAAGGCAGACAGGTAATATTAAAAGTGCTGGTATCCCTGGAAGAAATGAAAGTAGACGCTGGGACAGAGAGTGCAGGGCCATCTACTGTAGGTAGGAAGTCAGGGAGGCATCTTGGAGGAGGTGAATTGGAAGCAGAGACTTGCATGGGGAGGAGGAGAACTTCCAAGATATGGGGACAAGAATTCTGGCCATCAAAGGCCACGAGACAGGTGCACGCTGGGCTTGCTCAAGTAGCAGGGAGGAGGCTCGCTGGTGCCAGGCACGCAGTGATCCAGAGGAAAGTAGGAAATGAGCAAGGAGAGGCTGATGGGCCCCGGGTCCTGCAGGGTTTGAAGATGATGATGAGAACTTGAGACTGGATTCCAAAGGAGATGGGAAGTCACTGGGCGTGTGAACACTCAACGTCCTTTCTAAAAGCATCATTTTGGGAGGAGGGGGATGGTGTGGAAGCAGCCAGACTGGTCAGGAGGCTGCCGCAGAGCACCAGCCTCACCACTGGCAGAGCATTGCGCGTCACCACCCATGCCCGGCAGGAGGGAGGCGCAGTCTCCTTGGGCACTGATGAGTGGCCTTGGGGAAAGGAGCTCCACCCACCTGGCATCAGTTGAAAGGTGACAGAGCCCTGATCACTGCACAGTGCAGCCACCAGTATGCTGGACAGCAAAGACCAACACAAAAAACTTCCAAGTTTAAGCTTCTTCTTGAATTTTTAATGTTCAATTATGAAGCAGTTCAAACGTGCAAGTAAAAGAATACTATGACATCTATATCCTCAGCAAGATAAATCAGAAACTGATATTTCACTTTATTTGCTTCACATCTTTTTGTTTAAAAAAAAAGGAATGAGGGAACTAATAAGGAAAAGTACAGCTGTAGCTTAAGTCCTTCTTTCTCTCCCTTTCCTCCCAGGTCAACATTACTGTGAAATTTGTGTGCATTATACCCATTTTGTGCTTTTATTACATATTATTACATCTATAAACAATCTACATGATTGCTTTGTGTCCTCAAAATTACTTAAATGATATTATACAGTGTGTATCTTTCGCATCTTGCTTTATTCACTCAATATAATATATTTGAGGCCGGGCGCAGTGGCTCATGCCTGTAATCCCAGTACTTTGGGAGGCTGAGGTGAGCAGATCACCTGAGGTCAGGAGTTTGAGACCAGCCTAGCCAACATGGTGAAACCCTGTCTCTACTAAAAATACAAAAATTAGCTAGGTGTGGTGGTATGCTCCTGTAATCCCAGCTAATCGGGAGGCTGAGACAGGAGAATCACTTGAACCTGGGAGGCAGAGGTTGCAGTGAGCTGAGGTTGCACCTCTGCATTCCAGCCTGGGTGACAAGAGCAAAACTCCATCTCATAAAATGAAATAAACTCTATATATATATCTCATATGAGGGATGACTTATTTTAGCTGTTGAAGAGAGTGGCATTAAATGAACCAATCTCACTTTTTAGACATTCTCCTACTGTAATAACAGCAACATCAAACACTCATATAGCATTTGCAGTATGCCAGGTACTATCTAAGCACTTTATCTGCATTAAGTAAAGTCCACAAAATGAGCCTGTGATATATGATCTATTATGATAACCCTTTTAGAGATGAGAAAACCAGCTACAGAGAAGTTAAATACCTTGCTTCAGGTCACACAGCTGGTAAATGGCTGAGCTGGAATTTGAATCAAAAAAGTTTGGCTTCAGAATTGCTTTTTTAATCACGTACTGTGCTGTAAAAGAAGTTATTTCCAATATTTCACCATTATACAGAGTGCTGTAGTAAACATCCTTGTGCACATCTTCTTGTGTAAATACGGCAGTCTCTCTAAGGCAGACAGCCCAAAGTGGAACTGCTGGGTTATAGGATATGTGCATGCTTGGTGTGGTTGGCTGAGTAATGGCCCCCAAAGATGTCCATGTGGTAATCCCTGCAACTTGCTAATATGCTATTTTAGATGGGGAAAGGGACCCTGCAGGTGCGATTAAATTAAGGATTTGGGGGTGAGGGGGTTATGCTGGATTATTTGGGTGGGCACAATGTAATCACAAGAGTCCTTATAGGAGGGAAGCAAGAGGGTCAGAGTCACAGGAGATGTGATGTTGGAAAGAGAGGCAAAATGGGGAGAGGGAAAGACAGAGAGGAATTTGAAGATGCTGCATTGCTGGCTTTGAAAATGGAGGAAGGGGCTATGAGCCAAGGAATACAGGAAGCTTTTAGCAGCTGGAAAAGGAAAGAAGGTAGATTCTCCCCTATAACAACCGGAAGGAACTCAGCCGTGCTCACTTATCTTGGACTTTTGACCTCCAAAATGTAAGACAATAAATGTGTGTTGTTTTAAGCCATCAAGTTTGTGGTAGCTTGTTACAGCAATAATAGCATACTGATACCTCCGAAGTATGCAACAAGTAGCTGGGCAGTGGGGTGGACGTGCAGGATGTATGGAGGTGATTCATCCTCATGCAATGCCTGATGAGATGAATTTAAAGAAGCAGTAGGTGTCATCTCCACTAAAAATACAAAAATTAGCCAGGCATGGTGGCTTTTGCCTGTGGTCCCAGCTACTTCAGAGGCTGAGGCAGGAGAATCACTTGAACCTGGGAGGAAGAGGCTGCAGTGAGCCAAGATTGCACTACTGCACTCCAGCCTGGGCGATAGAGTGAGATTCTGTAAAAAAAAAAAAAAAAAAAGAATTACTCTGGATGCTAAGTAAAGAACAGACTTGAGGGCAGGACATAAAAGATGAAGAAGAGTGTCCAAGTACACCCAAACCTGTGCCTCCTGAGAAGCAATGTGAGAGGTTTGACACTTTTTGGAGAAATTGACATCACTGAAGTAATGAAGTAATCCAGCTACTCACTAAAAAAAAAAACCAGCAAATAACAACAACAAGCCCCAGAGAGAGATGACCAGTATCCAGAGTTGCTGCAGTATTTTATCTAAAATGTACAATTTTAACAAAACTCTAAAACATCCAATTTTAACAAAAAGTTAGGAAGCATGCAAGGAAAAGGAAAGCATGACTCAGAGACCAAAAAAAAAGCAGGCAACAGAAATTGTCTTTTAAAAAACTAAAAGAAGCCTGGCACAATGGCTCACACTTGTAATCTCAACATGTTGGGTGGCTGAGGTGGGAGGAGGTCAGGAATTGAAGATCATCCTGGACAACATAGTGTGATCCTGTCCCTACAAAAATGAAAATATCAGCTGGGCACAGTGGTGCACACCTATAGTCCCAGCTAATCTGGAATCTGAGGTGGGAGTATCACTTGAGTATCACAGGAGTTCAAGGCTGCAATGAGCTATGATCATAACACCGCACTCCATCTGGAAGACAGAGAGAGACTCTATCTCAATAAAGAAAAAAAAAGCAAAAAACTAACAGAACCCATGCTGAAATAAGTAAAGTATGATGCCATTTTTATATCAAATAGAGAATATCAATAAAGAGATAGAAAATTTTTTGTAAAAAAAAGGAACCAAATGGAAATTCTGGAGTCAAAAAGCACAATAACTGAAATTAAAAATTCACTGGAGAGGCTAACCTGGAAGAAGAAAGAATTAGCAGACTTGAAGATAGATTGATAGAGCTTATATACTCTCAAAAACAAAGAGAAAAAATAATTAATAATGAGTAATTATTAAAAATAACACTTCAGAGAAACATGGGAGACCATTAAGCATAACCACAAATGTATAATGGGGTATCAGAAGAAGAGGAAAGAAAGAAGCAGAAATCATATTTAAAGAAGTATTAGCTGAAAACTCCTAAATTAGCTGAAAAACACTAACCCAGACATTGAGGAAGATCAGCAAACTCCAAGTTAGACAAGCTCAAAGAGATCCACAAACAGACATTTTGTAGTAGAAATGCTGAAAATCAAAGACAAGAAGAAAATCTTGAACGCAGCATGAGGAAAGCAACTCAACACTTACAAGGGAGCCCCAATAAGATTAATGGATGACTTATCACAGAAACGATGGAAGCCAGAAGACAATGGAAAACATATTCAAAGTGCTCAGGATGCAAGTGGGGGCGGGGGGGGGGACTGTCAGCCTAAAATCCCATATCCAGCAAAACTATCTTTCAAAACTGAAGGTAAATAAATAAATAAATAAAAATAAAAATGTTGAAAACCTGAAGGTAAACTAAAGACATTGTCAGAGAAATAAAATCTGAAATAATCATTGCTAGCCAACCCACTTTACAAGAAATAATAAAGGAAGTTTTGCAGGCTAAAATCAAGTAACTCTCAGCACTAATTTAAATCCACAATGTGGTTGAACCTTGGAAACATTATAGTACGTGAAAAAAGCCTGTCACAAAAGGTCACATGTTGTATAATGCCATTTGCATGAGACATCCAGAGCATGTAAATCCACAGAGGCAGAAAGCACCTGATGGTTGCCAGGCCCTGGGGGAGAGGGAGAGATGGAGAGTAATGGCTTAGCAGGCACAGGGCTTTCTTCTGGAATGAGGAAAATGTTATGGAACTAGATAAAAGTGGTGGTTGCACAACATTGTGAGTGCACTAAAAGCCACTAAATTGTTCACTTTAAAATTGTTCGTTATGTGAATTTCACCTCAGTAAAAAAAATCAAATCAAATTTATTTTTAAAAATGTAGAGGCCGGGTGGGGTGGCTCATGCCTGTAATCCCAGCACTTTGGGAGGCCAAGGCAGGCCGATCACTTGAGGTCAGGAGTTCAAGACCAGCCTGGCCAACATGGTGAAACCCTGTCTCTAAAAATACAAAAATTAGTCAGATGTGGTGGCGCATGCTTGTAATCCCAGCTATTCAGGAGGCTGAGGCAGGAGAATCTCTTGAACCCAGGAGGCGGAGGTTGCAGTGAGCCAAGATCGCACTATTACACTTCAGCCTGGGCAACAGAATGAGACTCTATCTCAGAAAAAAAAAAATAGAGAGAACAACAGAGATGAACATGATGAAAAATAACATGGAGGGGAAGAAAAGGAGATCTACCTAGAGAGTATAGGTTTTCTAAGAATAATCAAGAAGGAATAAAACACGAGATCCAATAAGAAAAAAATGTTCTAACTACAACTTTCCGAAGCTGAAACAGGAGCTGGTTCACAGGTGACAAGCACCTACCACATTCCGGGTAAAATTAATGGGAAAGACCCACATTTAGACTGTTTCTGACACCATTTTTACCTTTAAGAATAAAGAGAAAAATTCTACAAGGATGCAGTAAAAAAAACACAGGTTACCTACAATGGAGTAAGAATCAAGGTGGCTTCAGACTTCTTCATAGCATTGTTTCAGGAGAAGTGTCACAGGTAAGTACAGGGATTTGAAAGGCACAATTCTTTATCCAGCTTAGTAGTCATTCATATATAGCACAAGGGCTCAGGAAATATATTTCTCAAATATCCTTCTTGAATTATTTGAATATATAGCATGTACATTGTATATATGAATCATGAATTTGTACTATAACTGAAAGTCAAAAACTCAAGAATGTGAAGTTTACAGTAGTGGGTATTGTTAATAAAACTCAAAAGCAATTTAAAATGTAGAGTCTGAAAGAGTAGTTTGCACCTCAAGGTTTAACAATCTCTTTGGGGTGCAAAGAAAAGCTCAGATTAGTAATGTTTACTGATTTTTGAGGGGCAATCCCTCCCACTATGTATGGTTTCCACTTACCAATGTGATTTGACAAAAAAAAAAAAGGTAAATTAATTCTCATCTCAAACCATATAACAAAAATTAATTATATAAATTAACATATCAAATGTAAGAAACATCAAAACCTACTACAAAGCTATAGTAATCCAAATAGTGTGGGACTGGCATAAAGACAGACAAATAGACCTATGGAATAGAATAGAGATCCCTGAAATAAACTGTCACATATATTGTCAAGTGATTTCAACAAGAGTGCCAAGACCATTCCATGCAGAAAGGACAGTTCTTTTCAACAAATGTTGTTGGTAAAACCAGAAATTCACATACAAAACAATGAAGTGTGACCCTTACCTAACACCAAATACAATAATTGACTCACAATGGATCAAAGATCTAAATGTAAGAGCTAAAGCTATAAAACTCTTAGAAGAAAATGAGAAAACTTCATGAGATTGGATTTGGCAATGGTTTCTTAGCTATAACATCAAAAGCACAGGCAACGAAAGAAAAAAATAGACAAATTAGACTACATCAAAAATAAAAATTTCTGTGCATGAAAGGACACAAACAACAGAGTGGAAAGGCAACCAATGGAATCAGGGAAAATATGTACAAATTATCTATTTGATAAGGGATTGGTATTCAGAACATATAAAGAATTCCTACAACTGAACAACAACAACAAAACGACAATTACAACAACCCAATTAAACAATAGATAAAGGACTTGAATAGACATTTCTCCAAAGAAGTTATACTAATGACCAACAAGCACATGAAAAGATGCTCAAAGTCACTAATCATTAGGAAAATGCAAATCAAAACAACGAGATACCACTTCCCGCTTATTAGTATGGCTACTATTTAAAAAAAGAAAATAACAAGTGTTACTGAGGATGTGGAGAATTTGGAACCCTTGTGCATTGTTGGAAATTTAAAATCATATAGGCCCTGTAGAAAACAGTATGATTTTCCTCAAAATGTTAAACATAAAATCACCATGTGATCCAGCAATTCCATGTCTGGGTATATACTCAGAACTGAAAGCAGAGTCTTGAAGAGCTTTTGCACACTCATGTTCATAGCAGCACTATTCACAATAGCCAAGAGGCGGAAGCAGCCCAAGTGTCCATCAGTGGATTGATGGATAAATGAAATATTGTATGAATATACCAGAGAATATGATTCAGCCTTAAAAAGGAAGTGATTCTGCTGCAATATGGATGAAATGTGAAGATATTCTGCTAAGTCTAATAAGCCAATCACAAAAAGACAAATATTGTATGATCCTACTTATATGATGTTATCTATAAAAGTAGTCAAATTCACAGAGACAAAAAGTGGAATGGTGATTGCCAGGGGCTGGGTGAGGATAAAAGGGAGTATTTGTGTTTAACGGATACAGAGTTTCAGTTTTGCAGGATGGAAAGAGTTCTGGGGATGAAGGGCTGTGATGTGAATGTGTAATACTTAATGCCACCAACCACACACTTAAAAATAGCTAAAGAGGTAAATTTTATGTTACATGTATTTACCACAATTAAAAATTAGTTTAAATGTAAGAAAAAACACAAAAATAAAAAGCATTAATATTAATCCTTAAAAAAAGAGCACCCCCACTCAAACCCTGAAGAACTCAAGCTTCAGAGGAGGACCCGGCAAAAAGGCCAAGGAAGGTTCGGGGGAAGGGTAGGAAAGGCGGGCAGCGTGGAGCCCCAAAGACCAACGGAGGTGAAGTAAACAAACAGCCTGATTCTCTGTACACGTAGGAGCCGTGTGTCTCCCATGTCTGCTTATCTTTTTCCTCTTATCTCTTTTTAAAAATGTCTATGTACTTCTTGGCCGGGTGCGGTGGCTCGCGCCTGTAATCCCAGCACTTTGGGAGGCCGAGGCGGGCAGATCACGAGGTCAGGAGATAGAGACCATCCTGGCTAACACGGTGAAACCCCGTCTCTACTAAAAATACAAACAAATTAGCCGGGCGTGGTGGCGGGCGCCTGTAGTCCCAGCTACTTGGGAGGCTGAGGCAGGAGAATGGCGTGAACCCGGGAGGCGGAGCTTGCAGTGAGCCGAGATCTCGCCACTGCACTCCAGCCTGGGCGACAGAGCGAGACACCAGAAAAAAAAAAAAAAAACAACTGTGTACTTCTCTTTCCCTTTCTCTGTCAGTTTCCTTCTTCCTCTCCTCATTTTTCAGTTTCCTTTACTAATTACTTCCCATGATGCCTTTCTCCTTTCATTAGACATCATAAACAACTGAAGATGTTCCTTTACCTGCTATTGTGAGGTATTTATGTTCATCTTATTGATTAAAAGCAAATAAATGAATAGATTTTTTTCTTTAATATTGAAGAGATGTGGATAAATACACCCAAATAAGTGTATTTTTGGCTCTGGTTTCAGTTTTTTTCTGTTAATAAATGGCTTGCAGTTAGAGAAAAACAGATTTCCCACCTCACTGCAGGGATACAGTCACTGTCCAACAAAAATGACGTATTCCTTTATCCAAGATGTTTCCCTTTTTAAAACATATACCTTCAGTTTTTATTTAAATTGTTTTAGACATAGCAAGAAAAAAAAAGAAAGAAAAAACCCACTGAGGATAAGACGATAAACACCTCTACATACTAGCACGTTGCCATATTTGTTTCAGAGCGTTTTCTTTTTGTGTGCGTGTGTGACAGGGTCTCACCCTGTCACCCAGGCTGGAGTGCAGTGGCATGGTCTTGGCTCACGGCAGCCTCAGCCTCCCTGGTTTGAGCAATCCTCCCACCTCAGCCTCCCGAGGAGCTGGGACTACAGGTACACACCACCATGCCTGGCTAAATTTTTTGTATTTTTTGTAGAGACAGGGTTTCACCATGTTAGCCAGGCTGGTCTCAATTTCCTGTGCTCAGATGATCCACCCACCTCAGCCTCCCAAGGTGTTGGGATAATAGGCATGAGCCACCGCACCCGGCCAGGGCTTTTTCTTAAGAAATTAAACTCTGCAGCCCTCCTTTGACCCCTCCCTTATTCTACTCCCCTTCCTTCCTAGAGATCATTCTTACCCTGAAGGTAGCTTTGAGAGCCATGAATATTCTAAAATTTTACAAATAAATTCGTAATAATTTAGCCTATTAGTTAATTTTTGAAACTAATAAATTAGCCCATTACTGTTTCTTAGATGCTGGCAGAAGACATGAGACTCCTGGGTCAGAAACAAAGGAAAATTTGTTCCATAGCAACAGCAGCATCAGCATTTTTGCACCAATAACCTGAGCCCCAGTTCCCACAGGGCAATGCAAAGAGAGTCAGATGACACCTACACACACAGTGGGTTATAAGAAAGGAGCCCTGAGTTCTGGGACCTGAGCCTTTTATCCTTGGCAGTGGCCATGTCTGACCCTTGCCCCATTAGGAATCACTGTCTCCATCTTCCAGGGTTATACGAACATCCTTCAAGGGATGGTTCAGAACCAAGGACACTGGTAACTGACTGGCAGGACATGCTGACAAGGGAAAGCTGTCTTCCAACATTAGTTGTTCCTTTCTACCCATGTTTTTATACTTACGCTGCATATGACATATTCCTAAACCATATGTATTGTTTTGTGGGTTTTTAAACTTTATATAAACGTCATCATAGTGTATGTATGACTTTTTCACTCATTACATTATCCAAATTCATTCAAGTTGACACATGTGGCTTAAGTTCATTGATTTAAACTGGCAATAGTATTTTACCATGTGAATATTTCACAATGCATTTACCATTTATCCTGTTGATGACATTTAGGTGTTACAATTTTTGGTCTTTTACGTTACTGCAATGAACATCCTTGTACCTGTCTCTTTGTACACAGGTGTGAGAGTTTTTCTTAGTGTCTGCATTAGAATGGGATTTCTGTGTCTTAGGGTATTTTCATCTTGAATTTTTGTTGCATTTTTAAAGCATAACTTTGATGAAATTAAATTTGTAGTGGCCATTTGTGTGCAGTATGCAAACCTTTCCTACCAGCCACCCCATCTCCATGTTGGACCATCTTCCCTTGTGCTTCCTGCTAGAGATCTTTTCCTCCTACCCCATTCAACAGGGGACAACTTGTAAGTAGGCTGGGCCACTGAGATGTTCTGCAGGGCTTAAGAGAGTGGTTTAAAGAAGTGGGAATTACCGGAAGTCAAATTCACCCAAAGGGATGCCCAAGCTGGAGTCGGTATGCTATGTGCCCTCCCTCCAGAGAACACATAGCGCCTGCTTGGGTTCCAGCCCTTGTTCTTACCCTGCCATTGAGCACATGTGCCTACAAGCACCCTTCCTTCCTGGGAGACCTGGAGTCAGATCCTGTTGTTCATGCAGAAGTACTCTGATGGATTGTGGGGAAAAGCAGAAGAGGGCAGGAAGAAAGCAGAATGAGGGAGGGGTAAGGATACAGAGGAGAGGAAAGAGAGAAAAGGATGACAGAGCTTTCACTCTTTTGTTTATTTTTTAATTCAGAGAGCAAACTTCCCCAAGTAAGCAGAAAAAGTGTCTCTTCAGCAATACTAGTAAGGCTTTGCTGGGAAAATTTTAAGACATGTAAAAGAATAATAAAAAACACATAACAATTACAGTGTACTACTTACTAAAATAACGGGCAATGTAGCTTATTTGGAAAAAAAAAAGTTTGTTGTCTCTGGTTATAGGTGTTTTTCCCAAACAAATACCAATATTATAATACCTTTTACGTAAAACTTAATGCTTTTTCTTTTACCTCCTATTTTAATTTGCTTTTTTGATCCTGTAAGTGAAAGGAGAAAGATCTCTGGTTTAAACAAAAAAAAAAAAGACAGGCCAGGCACAGTGGCTCATGCCTGTAATCCCGGCACTTTGGGAGGCTGAGGCGGGTGGATCACCTGAGGTCAGGAGTTCAAGACCAGCCTGGCCAACATGGTGGAATCCCATCTCTACTAAAAATTAGCTTGGCATGGTGGCGGGCACCTGTAATCTCAGCTACTCAGGAGGCTGAGGCAAGAGAATCTCTTGAACCGGGGAGGCAGACATTGCAGCAAGCTGAGATCGCACCGCTGCCAGGCATGGTGGTGAGCACCTGTAATCTCAGCAACTCAGGAGGCTGAGGCAGGAGAATCACTTGAACTGGGGAGGCAGAGGTTGCAGTGAGTTCAGATCGCACCACTGCACTCCAGCCTGGGTGCCAAGAAAAAGGAGTCCGTCTCAAAAAAAAAAAAAAAAGACAAAATATGTTAACATGTAATATAAAAAACAAATTATGTAAAGAAATGTAGAGGAGACTTTTTTCCTTATAGAAACCAGGCGGTTGTTATGTGCTTTGCTGCATAAAAAATTGCCCTATAACTAGGTTAATCAACTTATTAATTTTATTAATAAAATGAGATTTTATTATTTTTTTAAAAACCACTTTATTTGTGCACATTTTTGTGGGTCAAGAATTTGGGAAGTCTGAGCGGGGCAGTTGGTCTCGATGCACATGGCACCAGCGAGGGTGAGGGTGCCAGGATCTATTTGTGAGATGGTTTCTTCCCTCACTTTTCGGCACCCTGGGCTCCTCAGCCTGCCTCCCTTCAAGGCAGCTTATCCTCTGCGGCTTCCCCACAGGCCTTGGGCTTCTCGCTGCAGAGCCTTCTCAGGATATTTGCACTCCTTTCTCCTGGCACCGGGCTTCAGGCCAGTGAAGGGCCCCGCCTGGCACTGGCCCAGCATCACCCTGGAATGTGACCCCCTGCCACATTCTAGGGGGTGGAGAGATAGACTCCACCTCTCCATGAGAAAGCAGCAAGTTCACATTGCAAATGAGCACGGGAGACACAGATATCATTCCAGCAGACTTTAGAAATACACACAGACACATTGTGAAATAATGTTTGCTTTTTATTACTTGGAATCGTCTTGGGGTAAAGAGATCCTCAACTAGAAAAACTAAAGGTTTTTTTATTTAATAATGTTTACCTTTTTTACATAACTTTCCTTTGAAATTAGGAAAATCAAGCATGCTCATGTTAACAAGTGAGACTACCCAAAGATATACATTTTTAAAGTTAACGCAATATCCCCAGCCCTCATTCAATTCCCCTTCCCTGATGTACCCAATGTGTCCCTCCACACACGTTCATATATGTGTCCCTCCACACACGTTCATACAAATTGAAACGCTTGTACATGCAGATGTTTGTTGGCTGTTGTTTTCAGTGGGATAATTGTATGCATCTCACTCTGCCACTTGCTAATCACTTACTAGACCACGAGCAATCTTCCCAGCATGAGTCTAACTCATTTTGTTAGGAATACATAATATTCCATAGTTAGATAGAACTACAATTTATCCAACCATTCCCTTTGTAGCAGAGATTTTTCACAGTTCATCAATATCCTGTTACCCTTCCGAGCATGCATGCCTTGAAGTCTAGCATAACCAGGGCTTCATTCTCATCACTTTGCAGTGCAAGCCTTAGGGCCTGCTTCCTCCAGCTGTGGCAAGAGTGAACATGCATCCCGGGAGAGACCCTCCGCCTGGCCTCCCAAGGGCAATTTGTGCAGCTCTTCTGCAGTCTTGCAAGGAAAACTGTTTTAGGCCATTTATTTTTTTGAGCTATTTGGCTTATTTCCTTTGGATAAAGTAGTATATCCTAACTTGTACAGCCCTATTGGTGGACATTAGGTCATTTGGGTTTTTTTTGCCACTGCAACAATGCTGCAATAAACTTTCATACACACACACACACACACACACACCCGCACACACGCACACACACACACACGCCACTGATTCTCTCATTTTTATAGGATAGACTCTTAAAGGTTGATTGCTGGGTCAAATGATTTTAATTTTGTGTTTTGGTTTGTTTGTGGTTTTTTTTTGAGATAGGGTCTTGCTGTGTTGCCCAGGCTGGAATGCAGTGGTGCCATCACAGCTCACTGCAGCCTCAACCTGCTGAGCTCCAACAACCCTCCCACCTCAGCCTCCCAAGTAGCCAGGATTACAGGTGTGAGCCACCAAGCCTGGCTGGATTTCAAGTTTTAACAGATATTTTTAGATTACATTCTCCAAAAGTTTTAGCAGCTCACATTCCTACAAATAATGCAAGGATGTTTCACTCATTTTAATTTTTGTTGGTTTTATAAGAAAAATGATATCACATTATTGCTTTAATTTTATTCCCAACATCAATTTTCAGCAATTTATTCATACTTACCAGTAATATAAGGATGAAGACTCATTTTAATTTTTTTCAGTTTGATGGGTTAAAATGGTATTTTCTTATTGCTTTAATTTGCATTTCATCAACCAATTTTCAGATATCTATTAGCCATCTAGATTTCTGTGTACATGAAATGCCTATTCATGCTATTTTATCCATTTTTCTTTTGGAATGTCTTTTACCAAATAATAGGAGAGCTTCGTGTGCCAGAAATATCAAATGTTGCTAAAGTTTTTACTCAACATAGTATCTCCTGCCTTTCCTTATGACATCTTTTGCTGTGCAGTATGCAAACATTGTGTGCTGAGAATACGGAAATGTTACAGGGGTGGCCAGTGGTGATGGTTGCACAGCTGTGTGATGGTACTTACCGCCACTGAACTGTACACTTAAACATGCTTAGAAATCGCAAATTTTGTGTTGTGCATATTTTACCAAATAAAAAAATGCCTGTCTTTTCCTTGATAGCTTCTTGATTTCCTTTCCTGCTTAGGCGCCTCTCTCCCACCCAAAGTGACAGAAATACTCCCCTAAAATTTCTTCTAATATTATAGTTTTATTTTTTACACTAAAATTTTCAATCCGTCTGGAATTTACTTTTAAATTGTGAGGTAACGGCTTTCTAGCTGTTTATCAACTCTAACATCTTGATATTTCTTTTTCATTTTCATTACTATAATGTCTACTTTCTGGTTTTATCTAATAATTAGACATTGTTGGGCTGGGTGCAGTGGCTCACACCTGTAATCCCAGCACTTTGGGAGGCTGAAGTGGGTGGATCACGAGCTCAAGAGATCAAGACCATCCTGGCCAACATGGTGAAATCCCGTCTCTACTAAAAATAAAAAAATTAGCTAGGTGTGGTGGCAGGTGCCTGTAGTCCCAGCTACTCAGGAGGCTGAGGCAGGAGAACCACTTGAACCCAGGAGGCGGAGGTTGCAGTGAGCCGAGATTGTGCCACTGCACTCCAGCCTGGCAACAGAGCAAGGCTCCATCTCAAAAAAAGAAAAGAAGAAAAAGAAGAAGAAACTGCTGCAGCATATTTTCTACTGAAGTCAATAAATTACTTTCTCTGAGCAGACTATGAAATTTCTAGAGTCAGCAAGATTTCTAATCATTCTTTCTAGGAAAATAACATGTGTACATGCTTACATACATATATTAAATCATGCCCAGTGAAGAGATTATTTAAATAATTAACTTGCACTCTTCTATAGATGCAATACAGAGTATTGTGGTAAAAGTCTCCACCCATGCAACAAAAACAACGTTGAAATTTGATAATTAATTAAATTAATCATTATGAAAAATAAAACACAATGTATGTTGAGGATTGAATTATTCATATTGACTAATCTACAATAATTACAGATATTCAGCTCAATTTGTATATTATAGACATGACATCATAACTTGAATATAAGCTTCTGGTTTTTATTTTGTTAATTACATTGTTTAATATAACAAGATTAACATTGAAATAATTCCCCAAATCATAGATACACAGCAGTTATATCTACACTTGTACATATATCTATTTTTTTCTAGGGAGGCCATTGTCAATGAGTTACATTTCCTTGCAGACATTTTTAGTAGACAGAGCTGGAAACATGAATTTTTCAAAATCATGAGTGAAGCTAATACTTCTGATTTAAATTTAACTTCAAAACGACTTTACCTAATACTTGGATTTCACCTTTGCATCATAATATTTTATCTTCTAAAAATCTTATTTGATAAGAACTGTAACCTAATTTATTTGCTTTATCAAGATATATATGTAAAAATTGTGAATACATTTAATACACATATAAAATACACACGTACCCATGCATTTATATTATATGTTTTATATCTAAAATGGTTTATCTATTATATATGCAATGGTTTAGCAGTTAGCAATCCCATGTTCCTACGAATGACAAGACTACTGAATGAGGTTAAAGTTCCATCTCCTTACAGGTCTGCTGCTGTCTAGAAGATTTCCATTAAGGATGGGTAGTGTAAATACTGTGTTCTAAAGTCTCTTAAAATAACCATTTTCTCTGGGTGCATATGTCAACAACCACACAGGTTCATTCATTTCAGTTTCTTTTTAATTTTTAGGAGTTGTTCTTGCTTTTTGTATTTTAAAAATATATATGGTACTTACCTGACCCCAAAGTCATAATCCTATTGCACGCTCTATTGAAAGAAGCCTCCATCTCACATCCTTGTCCTCTTCACTCTGTCCCTTCCCTCCCGGGCAGATTTTGGTTTATCCTCCAGTGTTTCTTTTTATGAATACAAGCAAGTTGCTAGAACATACTCATGTTTCTCTTCCTTTCTTAGCAAAAGTGAGCATCGAATACACACACTTCTGCATCTTGATTTCCCACTTAACCACGTTCTGAGCTCTCCCTTTTCATCCTTGCATAGCAGTCCCTGGCCCACCTCGGGGTCTCGGCCCCACTGTGGGCAGACTGTGGTTCACCCAGCCAGACCCCTGCTCATAAAGAGCTTTTGCGTTTACAAATGAAGCCACGATGAGTGCTTCATGTGCCTGAGTTACTTGGTATTTGTACCTGTGTAGCTTTAGAATCGAGTCCTAAAACATTGTTAACATGAAATTTAAGTGAAATGTCTGATAGTTAAAAGAATCTCAAAACTTAATTTTGAAACTAAAATGAGCCTAAAACATTTTCCTAGCTCTTTTCCCTCCAAGCCTGGTCTATGGCATGCACAGCTTCTCAGACTCCTGCGGGGCTCTGGCCCCAGGGCCCTTGCACAAAGGGACCACAGTGGCCCGGTGATCTGGCTGGGCAGGACACAGTCTCCTCTGGGGAGCGAGAAGGGCAGTTCATTTCTAGAGGACGCCTCAGTGGCAAAACACAGAAACATTTCTCCTAAATACAAGAAGTAAGCTGAAAAAAATTAGGAATCAGGTTACAACTTTTATGTCATTCACATCCTTTAGTGAGGTAATAATTATTGCAGAACTATAAATACAAAGAAGAAAACACATACTATACAATTCACAAAATGTAATACATGCATATGGAGGAATATCTCATTTTCATCATGGTATTTATATTTGGCATGTCATCCTTATACCTGCATGCTATGAAGAGTTACGTTATAGAAAACAGAATTTTCTTAGCTAACAGCATGACTTGGAAAATAGTATTGCTTCTTTATTCCATGAAATCTCTTTCTTCCCTTTCTCCCCTTTCTCTGATGGCCTTTGTTTAAAAGTCACAGGTAAGAACTATTAACTCCAGTTCCTTCCACAGTAATTCCACAGTCAGCCTCCAGGAGCCAGGCCTCCCTGCGCGGTGCCTCCCACGCCAATCAGTAAATATGCAATGGGTTTTTACAGTGGCATCATTTAAACCCACAGGCATACATGAGAGTTGTGATCAACAAATAAGGGCACCAAAGTTCAGAAGGATTTATTTTCTCCCTGCCAGAGTGTACCTGGCTCACAGTTTTCCCCTGGGAGCAAGGTGAGCCTTTCAGGCATTTGAAAAGCTCCATCAGGTTTTCGGGGCATGCGGGGCACTGTGTCGTAGCTGGGGGTGTGCTGGGGAGGAGAGAGGGGTGTGGCTTCCAGGTGCTGCTTGCCTCTGACCCATGGTCCAGCAGCTCTGGGCCCTTGGCCTGCAGTGGAGGTGAGAATGACTGATCTGGCAGCATCCCCTGGGTGCTGAATGTGGGAGAGTTTATGCGAGGGCAGTCTTTGGGATGAAGGCCCTGTGGAAACCTAAGGTGTTTTCACCTCGCACCTTGCTGCGAGTCTGGGGCTTCCTGAGGCTTCCTGAGGCTTCCTGAGTCTTTGCATCCTGAGCCCGACCGTGGCCCTGGGCAGAGCCTGAAGCACACTTGCTGAGCTGTCGGGCCCCAGAGCTGTCGGGAGGGTCTCAGCGAGGTGCGATCATCCTGGGCCAGCACTGCCCAAGGCACTGGTGGACAGCCAGGTGGACTTATTAACCCCTACCTGTGCCAGGCCTTGTGGATACAAAAATAAAGGTGACCCAGCTCTAAAGGAGCCACCAGGGCAAAGGGAGACAAATCAGGGAATAGCAGCTTCCAAGGAGGGGAAGATGCCAGGCACAGATGGGATAGGGTGGGCCCAGGACCCCTAGGTATAAGGGGAGAGCCTCCACCTCCCAGAGGGGCTCCTTCAGCCTTGTTTTTGGGAATGTGTGGCTTAGAACTGACCTCAGAGAGGCTACTCCTGTGCACAGGGGGACCATCCTGGCTGCTTGCTGTAGGGGCTGCTAGCCACCTGTCCATGCCTTACTCTCCCTGGGCCTGGGCTGGGTGACAGAAGCCTGTCTCCTCCACTGACCTGGACTCCGCCTGGCCAGGCTGTCCCCTGAGACACAGCCGAGTGCACATTCGGCCATGGGCCAGCGGCTGCTCCACAGCCAGAGGATGCCTGCATGTGGCTGCTGTAGAGTGGCTGTGGCCGCCCCCAGAGCCCACAGCAAGGGCAGGGCTCCTTGCCAGCTGACCCACCCAGGAGGCCTTACCACTGCTTGTGTCGTTTGGATGCAGGGCAGTGCTGGCTGACAGCAGTGGAGGCTCTGCTGATTCTCACTGCCACCTTCTGAAACCCCTGACCTTGGCAGCCCTCAGTGCCAGAGGAAGGGAGGGGAGGTACCCAGGTGGGAGCCATGTGTTTTGGAGCAGGATTGCTGATCATGACAAAAACAGAGTTTGTCAATTCCAGCTGAACTTTACACAAATGGGTTCACCTACCCGCAGCCATTGTAACAGCAGCAAACACGCACCAAACATCCTAGGGGCTAATGCTCTGCTTCCATGATCTTGCTCATCTCTGAGCCCAACATCTCTGCAGGTAACACCATTCTTCTCCACCCTGGTTTCACTGATGAGGAAACTGAGGCCTATGAGGAGATCAGAAGTGCCCTGTGGCCACTCCAGGCTTCAACATGGGACCGTGGCGCCAAAGCTCAGCCCAGCCACGCACAGGGCTTCTCTGCTGTAGCGAAGCCTTTGGATTCTCCAGTGAGAAGGTAAGGGATCCACGTTTGCCTCTCCGTTTGAGTCTCGAAGGCCCTCTTGGCTCTCCACTGTGGCAGTGTGGGCTCGCCAGTCGGTAGAAGTGTCTTCTCTTTCCCTGGATGCCTGACACCCTGCCCTTGAAGACTCTGGAAAGCAACAGGGAAGCCGACTAGGCCCAGTTCCTGCTGCTCAGAATCCAGCTCCAGCACAAACTACATTCCCAATGCCAAGGATCTCACCAGCATGGCACAGAGTCCGGGTGCCTAACCTGCAGGGAGAGGTGGCAGCTCCAGGAAGCGCAGGCCTGGGTGCACCTTCCGGCTGCACAGAGAAGCCTCAGGGCAGAAGTCTTACCCCCCAGTGAGGGCAGCGCAGCCTCGTGTCCCACTCCTAGCAGGCCCTCTCATCAATCCTTACTCCACCAGCCAGGCCTCCTTGGGCCACATGGCTCCTTGCCGCAAGTCCTTCATGGTTCTGCCTCCACCTCCTCACCTCGTGTACTGACAAGGAAATGTCCTCCCATGCTCCCAGCCTCCCTGGCATCACCAAAGGCTTAGATCCCTAAACCCCATGGCCAATTGCTCCTAGGTCCTCATGCTCCTCACTGCCAGGCCCTTCTGCCTTCACCCCTCCTGGAGACCCCGTAGCAGTCAGCCACATTCCCATGTGAAAGATGTTCAGTGCACACCAGGCTTGCCCTCAGGAGACAGGGCCTCACACCCCCATCACCCCTCCTTCCAGGCACAGCCCCCATCCAGCCATCTGTCATCTTGGCAGTGTGAGGGTCGGGCCCCCTCACCATGGCCAGGACAATTCCAAAGGCCATCCACACCACAGCACTCTGCAGGGATGGGCGGAGGCCACCATGGAGATGGCAGGTGGCCCAGCGTCCCCGGCCCACACTGCTCGTCCCCTTGCTGAGCACCAGCCTCAGTTCCAGAGCCGCTTCCCAAAAAACCCACCTGGGCAGTATCAGCTCTTGCAGGACCTTCTTAACTCCCAGAAGAGTAGAGACTGTCGCCCCGTCTTGCATCCTCTTCTCACCTGACTTGACTTGGCCACCTGAATCCTCGAGGTTCACACTGTCCCGTCCTCAAGAATAACCCTCCAGCCACAGCCTTTCTCCCCAGCTCCACGCGATGCACCCAACCTCTCTTCTCTGTAGGCCCAACTCAACCCCAAGTTAAATATTCCATTCACTCCCACCCGATGGCTAGCCAGGTTCTCCACTTTCATGCCCAGTCAACGAATGCATATTAAGCATCTTCTACCTGTGGGTGATAGCAAAGTAGCCATTTATCCGCACGTCCTCAGGGCCGCATGCATTCTGAGCTCTGTGTGTGTGTTTCGGGCAGCCCTCCCCACCCTCCACGAGCTAGGCGCTGTTACTCCTTCGTTCTTACAGAGGAGAAATGGAGGCTCAGAGGTCAAGCGCCTTGCCCACAGTTACACAGGCAGTGAGGAGAGAGGCAAGATTTCAGCCTGGACAGTTTGGCTCCTAGCCACTAACCTATGCCAGGAACTGCAAGAGGCAGCCACCCAGGGGTCAAGGACAAACTCAGCTGTCTTGTCCAACATGACACTTTCCCCAGCCTCTCAAGTGGAGGTTAATGCTGTCTGCATCCTATTACTCTGTTATTCACTTCACACATTCCACTTTGCATAGGATTGTCTGAATTCTGAGGTATCCCTCCAGTAGACAGAAAGTCCTCATGGCAGGAACTGTCTGTGTCCCCTTTTTCTTTCTATCTCCCTGAACAGGTTCTGTAGGCTCCTAGAAAAAGCACGGGAGACCATGGGCAGTCATAGTTCACATCTGTCATCTGGGAAAAATTATAATTCTGTTCTCTTACACTCTCAAAATCATCACGGTTTGATGTGAAACTGGTAAGCTCTGAGCGGGGTTGGGAGTGCATCAATGCGTTATCTGGCTGTGGTAGCAGATGAGTTATGCAAAATATTTCCGCTGGGGAAAGTGGGTGAGGGCATATGGAATTCTGTTTGTGTTAATTCTTGCAACAGTGTGCAAATCTACAATTATCTCAAAATTAAAAGTTTTTAAAAAATTATCCTGGTTAAAAAAATATATTACATGGTCACCCTAATTTCAACAGCATCCTGTCTGACTCCTCTAATTTTCATCTGTCTTTCCTATTCCTTTTACACAGCAACTAATGTCATGTGCGCCTACCTCTATTCATTTTTATTTTTTACCATCTGCTTCCCCAATAAAGGATGACAACAGAAGTTGTATTTGTCTCTCTTTTTTTGAGACCGAGTCTCTCACTCTGTCGCCCAGGCTGGAGTGAAGTGGCACAATCTCAGCTCACTGCAACCTCCGCCTCCCAGGTTCAAGCCATTCTCCTGCCTCAGGCTCCCGAGTAGCTGGGATTACAGGCACCCACCACCACGTGTGGCTAATTTTTGTATTTTTAGTAGAGATGGGGTTTCGCCATGTTGACCAGGCTGGTCTCGAACTCCTGATCTCAGGTAATCCACTCGCCTCGGCCTCCCAAAGTGCTGGGATTACAGGCCTGAGCCACTGTGCCCGGCCGTATTTGTCTCTTTATTTCAAGCACCTACACGCATGTGGTCTCTGTTCTATGATCACAACAAGGGCAGAGAGGCAATCTCCTCGTCCCCAGCTCACTCCCTGCCCCAGAAGCTGCCAGTGGTTTCCTGTGTCCCCCTCTAGGCTCAGATGGGAAATCAAGGAGCTCCCATCTGTGGAACACCTTTAAAGATCAAATATATTATAGGTGGAAATATAAAGTCCTAATCGTAAGCATACATTAATGGAAAATAACAAATTATTCTACTAAAAGTGAACTCCTAATTTCAACTCCATTTCATTTGCAGCTGGCTCATTTGTTTTATTACTTTCTGGTAGACAGTGACAGACAAGCAACAGCTCCCACCAAAGCCGTAAGAAAGACACCTGAGAAAGGGGGATCATCCCCTTCGAGGGTGGGGCCTCGGCTGTTTGCTTCTAGTGGAGGCGGGTCCAGGGGAGCAGCCGCAGGAGCTGCGGGGTCAGCACACCAGTGGCATATCAGCCCCACCACACACGTGACCGTAGCCCTCGTGGTCTTTGCTTTTGGGCAGCTGAACTCCAAATGCTCGCTGTGTTCTCACCCCCGGCTGTGGGGGCTACAACAAGGAATAGCCACTCTGGAAGCCAGCCTGGCTATTTCTTAAGAAGTTCTGATAGACTCACCTTATGACCCCGCCACTCCACCCCCAGGTATTTACCCAGGAGAAAGGAAACATACAGCAGCCACACCTTATCTCTGTTTCTGCACTTTCAGTTACCCACAGTCACCTGTGGTCTGAAAATGTTACATGGAAAATTCCAGAAATAAACAATTCATGTCTTAAATTCCATGTCATTCTGAGTACCGTCGCTCAGCTTGCCCTGTCCCGCTCGGTCCCAGGTGGGGTGTGAATCCTTCCTTTCTCCAGCATGTCCGTACCGTCATCGCCACCTAGGAGCCGTCTCGGGATGAGATCGACTTGTGTCACGGTACCACAGTGCTTGTGCTCAAGTCACCCTTGTCTTACTTCAGAATGGCCCCAGAGTGCAAGAGTAGTAGTGCTGGCAATTCGGATACGCCAAAGAGAAGCCATCAGTTGCTTCCTTCAAATGAAAAGGTGAACGTTTTTGACTTAATAAGGAAAGAAAAAAATCACACACTGAGCTCTACAGTAAGAACAAAGCGTCTGTGTGTGAAATTGTGAAGAAGAAAAAAGAAATTCATGCTAGTTTTGCTATTGCTCCTCAAACTGCAAAAGTTACAGCCACAGTGTATAGTGCGTGCTTGGCTAAGATGGAAAAAGCATTAAGTTTGTGGATGGAAGTCCTCAGTGGAGACATGTCCCAATGGCCGGCAGTCAGCTTTAGTACTACTGGAGGTTTCAGCCACCCACTGTGGGGGGCATCTTGGAAGGCATCCCCCATGGATAAGAGGGGACGACTGCTTATCCATTTAGACTTGTACACAATTGTTCATAGCAGCTATATTTGTAAGAGTCCCAAACTGTAGACAACCAAATCAATAGATGAATAGAGAAATTGTGGTATAATCAATACAGTGGAATACTACTTGGTCATCAGAAAGAACGATTTATTGACATGCATATTGTGTATGGCCCAGAAGAATTTCAAAACAACACCACGGAATTTTAAAAGCCAGACAAAAAAGAAATATGCCGTATGTTTTCATTTATATAAAAATGCCAACTAATCTCTAATGAGAGAAAACAGACCACCAGTTGTTTGGGGACAGGGTGGGGGGCAGGGAGATGCTGGAGATTAGGACTGGGCAGGAGGGAACTCTGGGGGATGGATGTTGTAAATGAAAAAGTATCTGAAACAGGTCTCAATCAATTTACAAGTTTATTTTGCCAAGGTTAAGGACCTGCCTGGCAGAAGAAAAGACAGAATCCCAGAAGCAGTCCGTGGTCTGTGCCTTTTTCCAAAGACGATTTTGAGGCTTTAATATTTAAAGGGGAAAAGTGGGCTGGAGGGGAAAGAGGAGGGGTATGGTAATCCATATGTTGCAAGAGAAAAGGAGCAGGTAGGGCAATAGTCAAGTATGTACTGGTCTCCTGCTAAGTAAACCAGCACTTTACATAAAAGAAGGTGAACATAGAGTAGCTCCCTGCAGAGACGTTTAACCTGTTATCTGTAGCTATCTGCTTAGGAATAAAAGGAAAGGCAGCTTCTTCAATGACTCAGCTTTCAGCTTGGTATTTTTCCTTTTGGCAGAGTGAATTGGGGGCCCTTTTGCAACATGTTGATTGTCTTGATTATGGTGATGGTTTCACAGGGTTACACCTGTGCCCAAGCTTAGGCAGTTGTACTCTTTAAATTGGGGCAGTTTGGCCGGGCGCGGTGGCTCACGCTTGTAATCCCAGCACTTTGGGAGGCTGAGGCGGGTGGATCATGAGGTCAGGAGTTCGAGACCAGCCTGGCCAACACAGTGAAACCCCATCTGTACTAAAAATATAAAAATTAGCTGGGCGTGGTGGCAGGTGTCTGTAATCCCAGCTACTTGGGAGGCTGAGGCAGGAGAATCACTTGAACCCAGGAGAAAGAGGTGGCAGTGAACTGAGATCATGCCACTGCACTCCAGCCTGGGTGACGGAGCTAGACTCCATCTCAAAAAAAAAAAAAAATTGGTGCAGTTTATTATATGTCAATTACACCATAAGAAAGCTAGGGTTTTTTCGGTTTGTTTTTTTAATCACCAGATCTGCCCCTTACTGGCTAAATGGGAAGATGTTGGACAAGCTCCTGAACCTCACTAAGCTTTCTCACACAGAAATGGCAGCATCTATCACTAGGGCCACTAAATGGGTTGGGGCACAGAGGGCTTCGCAGAGCAGCCATGGAGACTCATTGGTGTGATCGGTCATTAGCACCTCTTTTGTAAAGAACAGCTTTAACGAGCTATAATTCACATGCCACACAATTCACGCATTTAAAGCATGTAATTTGATTGTTTTTACTGTGTCACAGAGCTGTGCAACCAGCACCACACTCAGTTTCAGAATATGTCATCTCACCCCAAAAAGAAATCCTGTGCCCTTTACCTACCTCCCCTACTCACCACCCTCCCCAACCCCCACCCTAGGCAACCTCGAATTTACTCTCTCTGGATTCGTCTATTGCAGACATTTCACAGAAGTGGGGTCATATAACATGCGGACTTTGGCTTATTGACTCAAGCACAAGGCTCTCAAGGTCCGTCTGTGTGGCAGCACGTGGCAGCCCTTCATTCCTGCCTGTGGCTGAATATGCCACAATATGGATGCACTGCATTTTGTTTATCCATTCATCAGCTGATGGACATTTGGGTTGTTCTACTTTTTGGCTATCATGGATAATGCTGCTGTGAACATTCGAGTATGAGTTTTTATGTGGACATATGTTTTCAGTTCTCCAGGAAAGAAATTGCTGGGTCATATGGTAACTCCACCTTTAACTTTCGGAGGAGCTGCTAGACTGTTTTCCAAATCAGCTGCACCATTTTACATTCCCATCAGCAGTGTACGAGGGTTCTAATTTCTCCACATCCTCACCAACACTGGTTATTATCTGGCTTTTTTTTTTATTATTACAGCCATCCTGGTGGATATGAATTAGAAACTCACTGTGACTTGGCTTTAATCAGTCTTTCCTCTGTATTCCTGCAAGAGTGATCTGGTAGTAATGGCCATGAGTAATTGTGGTTTGTGTTCGTTATCTTGATTGTGGTGATGGTTTCACTGGTGTATACAAATGTCAGAACTCATCAAATTGCATACCTTACATGTGTGCAGTTAATTGTACACTTGGCCCTTGAACAATGTAGGGGGTAGGGACGCCAACCTCCCACGTGGTCGAAAATCTGAGTATAACTTTTGAGTCCTCCAGAATGTAACTACTCATAGCTGACTGTTACCAAGGAGACTTACCTGTAACATAAACAGTCAATGAACATTCTGTATGTCATATAGATTATATAGTGTATTATCACAATAAAGTGAGCTAGAGAAAAGATGTTATTCAAAAATCATAAGGAAGAGAAAATATATTTACTATTCACTAAATGAAAGTGGACCATCATAAAGGTCTTCATCCTCTTCATCTTCACATTGAGTGGGCTGAGGAGGAGAAGGAGGAAGAGGAGGGGGTTGGTCTTGCTGTCTCAGAGGTGGCAGAGGCCAATGAAAATCCACATGTCAGTTGGACCTGGCAGTTCAAACCTGTGTTGTGCAAAGGTTGACTGTATATCAATTACATCTTAATGAAGCTGTCAAACAAACAGATAACTACTCCCCCCTGCTGCAGAAAAGCAATAATGACCACATGCCAGGGGGCTGGAATAATTACATTTCTTTTTTCCAAAAAGTCTCTGGACTATTTTTGTCTGAGAGCCCTTTTTCCTATATGTCTTAATACTGTAAAGTGTCTCAGAACATTTTTTGGAAATAGGCCTGATAAGAGAACCGAATGGAAGATGTGCCTCTGAGGGGGTGAGGGCCTGCTGGGACCCCAGAGGGTGCGAGGTGCCGGGCAGGGCACGCAGGCTCTCCGTAGCCCTCTCACCGTGGGCCACCCACCCTGAGCCCCTGGAACAGGCCTCAGGCTAAGTTCTTTCTGTTCAATCAACCCTATGGTTGCCGGGACAGACAACAGATAATCTCAACCTGGAAACAAACTTCTGCCCATAACATTCACAAACCATTGGAAGCTTTAGTCATATTTATATGTCCTATATGGCTTGATCAATAGTCTCATATACTGAAGGCACTGACAAATGCAATTAACAATGAAAGCTGAAGAATTACAATGTGATAATAATGTCAGTATTATTTATGTATTCCATCAGGGAGATAATTATGAAACTCTAAACAAAGGAGAACATAGAAAATAGCTCATGTAGACTCAATTCTCTTTGTCCCACTTCAAATTAAATTCATTTAGGAAGAAACTTTTTAAAATATGATAAAATTGAACATATCATCTGGGTGCAGTGGCTCATGCCTATAATCCCAGCACTTTGGAAGGCTCAATCACTTGAGCCCAGGAGTTTGAGACCAGCCTGGGCAATATAGGGAGACCCCGTCTCTACAAAATATAAAAGAATTAGCCAGGCATGGAGTGGCATGCCTGTGGTCCTACCTATTCTAGAGGCTGAGGTGGGAGGATTGCTTGAGCCTGGGAGGTGGAGGCTGCAGTGAACAGAGATTGTGCCACTGCACTCCAGCCTAGGCGACAGAGCTAGACTGTCAAAATATAATAATAATAACATTTTAAACATCATATTCTTTACAAGAAATTTAGAACTACATGAGAACATGCAACCACAAAAACAAAATGGCCTGCTCTTTAATGGTGGTACAGATTGAGTTTGTCCGTCAACACAAAAGGTGAAAGCTGCATGCATGACAGACAACCTATGCAGCAATGAAGACGCGAGCCCCGCAGATCTGCTAGAAATAGCAACATATGGATGTCTGCTGTTGAGAAAATATAACCACACAGTAAATACTAAACACATGTATTAAATATGTATGTGACGCCTTTACATTAATTAAAGGTATAAGACGTGTACATGATTTTTTAAAGCCACTATAAATATGGCCTAGTCGAAAAAAAATCTATACATTTTGCTAAGTGATCCATTCCCTAGTGTGGAGACTGCTGCTGAGCTCACAGCATAGAGAAACGCATGTCCCAGGCACTGCCCGTAGGTGAGAATCTGTGAAGCATGCCTGTGCCCACCTCACACAGCCTAGCAGTCGCTGGCCCCTTCCTCATGCTCCTCGTGGAATCCTGAAATGGTTTCTCAGGCTGGTCATTTGTTTTCCAAGTCCTGCCTCATGTATCGCTGAACTATAGTAACACTTTCAGTTTCACAATTACACCTTTAAATCCACTCGCAGTGTTCAGGCGTCACACACACAATAGGCTCCGTGTTCGCCGGAGTGAGGATTGTGCCTTCGTGGGTCACACCACCAACACCGAGCAGAGACATGCTCCCACCTTAGCATAGAGATGCGTGCCACCCAAACATGCCTGCTAAAGCCCAAACCATTGACTAATTTTCTCGGAGCCCTTGTATTTTGATGAAATATAGTTTACACATCTAATATAGATGTAGAAACTGTCTTTCAACATCTGTGCTTAGGACAAAATGCCATCTCCTGGGGCCTAGGAGCCCTGTCAGGGCCTTAGTCCAAATCCTAGCATCTTCACCCAGCAACCCCAGCAGGTCACTCAGACTCCTGTGGCCTCTGTTTCCTCACAGTCGAATGCACAGAGTTAGAGAATAACAGGGTGGTTCCCAGGGCCGGGGAGGAAATGGGAGATGTACACCAAGGGAGACAAAGCAGATAAGGAGGAGGCCAGTCCAGAGAGCTAATGAGCAGCATTAGCTGGAGAAATAAGACCACACCATATTGGGAATTTTTGCTGAAAGAGTAGATTTTAGGTGTTCTTGCCATACAAAAAATGGGTAACTACGTAAGGTGACGGATATGTTAATTTGTTTGACTATAGTAACCATTTCACTATGTGTATATATACTCAATTTCTGCAAATAACCAGTTTCTCCCAGCATAGTTAATTTCAGAATAAATAACATCACCACATCATGATATGCTGCTAGGCCATGTTGATATTGTCAAAAAGTTTACAAAAAAGGATTTTCTTTAAAAAAAGAAAGACTTCATTCTAGTGAGCAGTTCGCAAACTGGAGAAACACAGCCTTTGGTACAAAACATCGGTGTGCTCCAAGAAAACAAAGAGAAGCATTGTCTTGTAGAGACGGTTTCCACCCAGGTTCCCACTCTGGTCTGCTTATGCAAATGAGGGATGCACACTTGCTTAGTTTTGATTGGCCAATGCTTGTTTAGTCATGATTAGTCAACATAGGTACTGTCTGTGGGTTAAGGTCCAGGAGGTGACATGGGATTTCCTGGCAGCTGTTGATTCAGGTGGCGTGAACAGGAGCAGAGAGCTATGAAAGTCCCAAAGTTACACAAGCATGTGGGTTTTCCAGCAAATGGCTCCATGGATCTATTTTGAATTTAGGACCAGTTAGCCACTCAGGATCTGTCTTGAAGGATTGACTCAGGCTCACAATGTGATTTTTAAAACTCGTGAGGCATGGCAGTAGGGAGGCTGACCGACCAATTTTGCTCAACTTTGCTTTCAGCCCGGCTGGGGCCTCCTACATAAGTCAAGCCTAGGATTAAAATGGTAACCAGTATAAGGGCTGTGCTGATTATTAGTGCCAGGAGATTTAGGTGACCACGGAAGGTAGGACTCCCCTTCTCTGGCTTTCTCCTTTTCCTGGATTTTTGAGCTGCCCAAATTCTGTTCTTTGGCTCTTCGAGGCAATAAGCTGTGGCTTTTTGTCCAGATGTCCAGATTCTTGCTCCCTCTGCTTGGCTTGGACTGAGGCCACCCTCTAGGGAAAAGCAACAGAAAGCAGGCGGCTGGCCTCTGCCGCCCCTTCCTCCAGGCGTGGGCTCCGTCCAGGGTCAGCCTCCTCAGGGCTCTCTCTGGCGCTGCACACAGTTGTTTTTTATTTTTTTGTCCCAAGTTTGTGACTGCTGCCTGTGGGAGTGTGGGTGGCTGAGAGGCCACCTCTCCAGGGCTCAAAGTGCCCATGGACACCGGCTGAGGCTGAGGCCCAGGTGGCCCTTAGAGAGTGACACTGTTCATCTGAAACAAGTCCCCTTCTCCCTACAGCAGGAGGAACGCCTCAGCTAAAGCCTCTAAGGATAAAATTACTTCATGTATAAATAAATTTATTTTTCTCTATGTATCCACATGCTGGATTTTTATGTTAGTACAGTGACGTTTTCCCATTTTCCAGTTGCTTGGGTCTACCTGCCCCCTCTCTCCCAGCTCCATGGACCTCAGCCTTAGGTTTTGAGAGCACTTCCCATCTTACAAATACTTAGACTTAGAGGATCTTTATTGGGTTCTTAACATTTGTCTGTGAAAAAGCAGGGCAGGCTTCACGCTTCACTGTGGCTCTTTTCCACTGACAGAGGCTGACTGTATGTGCTTCTGTTGGATGATGGCCTCATATCCCTGAAAATGGGAAATACCACGGACAACGCAGTCTTTGCATCCTCTTCCAAATGGACCCTCAGAATCCACGCGGGCTTCAGAGAGCAGGATCCAAAGCCACCTGGTTCCTCCACGTGCTGTTCCTACAGGGGCAGCCATGAGGGACGGTGGAACCCTTTCACTTCTAACTGAGGTCAGGTGCACGGAGAGGCCGTGACTGAGTCCAAACTTGCTCTGCCGGCCGCACGGCAGCCAATAAGTCAAGAGACACAGAGCTGGGGCAAGGAAGGCGACTTTATCTCAGAGAGTCAGCAAACTGAGAAGACGTGGAAACTAACGTCCCAGAGATCCATCTCAGAATCATGCGGGCTTTGCCTCGTCTTCTCTGTGAGAGGGAAAGGAGGGGGCTGACAACCGCAATTGTCTGGGCGCCAACAAGGGTCTGGGGGAAGTTTGTAAAACTTCTTTGTCCATGAGTAATGGTCTCTCATGTGACAGTAGCTAAACCTCCCTGTTTCTATAAATCCTTAACAAAACATAGTTAGCTGTTTACATACTTCCCTTTTAATCCCAGAGTTAGTTTCAAAAACTACATGATTACTGTTTTTGTGTTTTATCTCAGTGCTCTAAAATTATCCTAGCCTACGTGCAGGAGTGGGTAGAGGCCCCTTCAACAAAAATGGAGCTAGTTGTGTCTGTTCTTTCGCTGTTTCATTGTCACAGGCCCATGTGGAGAACGTGGTCAAGGAGTTCTGGAATGTTCTGCCACCTTGTAGGAATGGTCAGTGTGACTTCTTGTGTAAACTCTCAAATGCAGCTCAGCCCACCAGAAAGATATTTCAGACGAGGAACATGGGCACGAGCTGCAGCCTCCTTCTGGCTCTTCGCTAACGAGCTCACTAAATCTAGGACACGTGTTCACTCTATATTTGTAGAAAGTTATGTTTTCATCTTTTTGCAAATTCGTTTGAAGGTTTTGGGGGTCCCGCCAAGATGCCTCTGCAACTCACCCAGCAAAGCCACAGAACTCCACCTGCCAACGAGCCTCGAGGCTGCTGAACCTGCTGCAGACACACTCAGTCTCGGCCCACGGCGGGCCCCACATGGCACAAGCCCTTTCCCGCACTGACTCCCCATGCTGCTTTATTCCTGACCATGTGTTGCTGTGTTCCTTCCTGGTTTGGGGCCTGCTTCGGTTCTGGTTCTGGTTTGGCCCTATCCAATGTGCAAGTCCTCTCAGCAATGACTGACAGCCAGGTTTGCAGGTCTGCCCTGGCAGGATGTGTCCCTATTGGGGCAGGAGGGGTCCATTCTCCACTAAGAGAGGACAGAAAATCTGGCTTATTCTTTCCTTCCTGCCCTCCTGTGAGCTCAACTCCATCAGAAGGATGTGCTGCGCCCCCTGGAAAAGAGAACAGGTTTTAGGATCTGGACCCATGAGTGGTGCTTCTGGGTTGGCTGTGGCCTGTGGCTGAGGATGCATGGCAGAAGCTACATGCACTCAGTGGGTCTGTGAGCCTCCAACCGAGAAAAGCCTTTACCTCTCCTCGTGTCTGAAATCTTTTCTTATATCAACAATGTATTAATAAATTAGATTACAAAGTTTCTTACAATAAAGGAACTTTGTCCTGAATGGCTGATAAGTGCTTATATGAATTTAATATCCTCAAAATCCCCAGAAAATATAGAAACTGAACTTCTAATATTTTATTTTTTATTTTTATTTTTTTTTAGACATGGGATCTTGCTATGTTGCCCAGTCTGGTCTTGAGCTCCTGGCCTCAAGTGATGCTCCCACCTCAGTCTCCTAAAGAGCTGGGATTACAGGTATGAGCCACCATACCTGGCCTTCTAATATTTTAAATGTGTTAGCTTTCCAAGAAAAAATATTTCTCCTCAAAATTACTATCCCTCATAGCATTTTTTTCTATAAGAAACTAAGTTCATATAATCAAAGTGATGAAACAAATCAGACCAGTTTGATAAATTTGATTTAAAGACAGCAAATACGCCTTTTCCTTCATTTTTTTCTATGCTGCATATAATGCAGGCATACATTTTATTTTTGATAAGATGTAAATTTGTTTGTGTTTTTAGGTTTAAATTCCCCAGTTCTTTTCTCTGTCTTTTTTTGTTTTATTTTCAAAGCTATACACAATTTCACACATACCATTATGATCTAGATATATTTACCAAGACATTTAAACATGTATATTTCCGGTTTTCAAATCCCTATTAGCAGCCAGGCACTGTGGCTCGTGCCTATAATCCCAGCACTTTGGGAGGTTGAGGCTGGTGGATTGCTTGAGGTCAGGAGTTCGAGACCAGCCTGGCCAACGTGGTGAAACCCCATCTCTACAAAAAAATATGAAAATTAGCTGGGCGTGGTGGTGTATACCTGCAATCCCAGCTACTCGGGAGTCTGAGGCAGGAGAATTGCTATAACCCAGGAGGCGGAGGTTGCAGTGAGCTGAGATTGCACCACCGCACTCCAGCCTAAGCAACGAGAGAAACCCTGTCTCAAAATAAATAAATAAATAAATAAATCCCATTAGCTTCCTAAATAAAATATCCAAGTATCATTATTAGTAATATTTATTTGTTTTATAAATTTATTTGTATTTTTATTTTGTATTTCCCTAGGTTTTTGGGAAACAGGTGGTTTTGGTTACATGAGTAAGTTCTTTAGTGGTGATTTCTGAGATTTGGTGCACCATCACCCAAGCAGTGTACATGGCACCCGATTTATAGTCTTTTATCCCTCACCCCCTCCCCCCCATCCCGATTCTCCCGTGTCCATTGTATCCTTCTAATGCCTTTGTTTCCTCATAGCTTAGTTCCCACCTATAAGAACATACGGTGTTGGGTTTTTCCATTCCTGAGTTACTTCACTTAGAATAATGCTCTCCAGTTCCATCCAGGTTGCTGCAGATGCCATTATTTCATTAATTTTTATGGCTAAGTAGTATTCCGTGGTGTATATATAACACAATGTCTTTATCCACTCGTTGATTGATGGGCATCTGGGCTGGTACCATATTTTTGCAATTGCAAATTGTGCTGCTATAAACATGTGTGTGCAAGTATCTTTTTCTTATAATGACTTCCGTTCCTCTGGGTAGATACCCAGTAGTGGGATTGCTGGATCAGATGGTTTCAGTTCTTTAAGGAATCTCCACACTGTTTTCCACAGTGGCTGTACTAGTCTACATTCCCACCAACCATGTAAAAGTGTTCCCTTTTCACCGCATCCCCACCAACATCTTTTTTTTTATTATTTCTTTTGTATTATGGCCATTCTTGCAGGAGTAAGGCAGTATCGCATTCTGGTTGTGTTCTTTTTGTTTGTTTGTTTGAGACAGAGTCTCAATCCGACACCCTGGCTGGAGTGCCGTGGCACGATCTCAGCTCACTGCAGCCTCCACTTCCCAGGTTTAAGCATTTTTCGTGCCTCAGCCTCCCGAGTAGCTGGCATTACAGGCGCCCACCACCATGCCCAGCTAATTTTTGTATTTTTAGTGAAGACAGGGTTTCACGACGTTGGCCAGGCTGGTTTTGAACTACTGACCTCAAGTGATCCTCCCGCCTTGGCCCCCCAAAGTAGCATTGTAGTTTTGATTTGCATTTCCCTGATAATTAGTGATGCTGAGCATGTTTTCATATGTTTGTTGGCCATTTGTGTATCTTCTTTTGAGAATTGTCTATTCATGTCCTTAGCTCACTTTTTGATGGGACTGTTGATACTTTTCTTGCTAACTTGTTTGAGCTCCTTGTAGATTCTGGATATTAGTCCTTTGTCAGATGCATAGATTGTGAAGATTTTCTCCCACTCTGTGGGTTGTCTGTTTACTCTGCTGATTGTTTCTTTTGCTATGCAGAAGCTTTTTAGTTTAATTAAGTCCCATCTATTTGTCTTTGTTTTTGTTGCATTTGCTTTTGGGTTCTTGGTCATGAAGTCTTTGCCTAAGCTAATGTCTAGAAGGGTTTTTCCAAGGTTATCATCTATAATTTTTATGGTTTCAGGTCTTAGATTTAAATCTTGATCCATCTTGAGTTGATTTTTGTATAATGCAAAAGGTGAGGATCCAGGTTCATTCTTCCACATGTGGCTTGCCAATTATCCTAGCACGATTTGTTAAATAGGGTGTTCTTTCCCCACTCCATGTTTTTGTTTTCTTTGTCAAAGATCAGTTGGCTGCAGGTATTTGGGTTTATTTCTGGGTTCTCTATTCTGTTCCATTGGTCTATTTGCCTATTTTTATACCAGTACCATGCTATTTTGGTGACTATGGCCTTGTAGGATAGTTTGAAGCAGATAATGTGATACCTCCAGATTTGTTCTTTTTGCTTAGTCTTGCTTTGGCTATGCAAGCTCTTTTTTGGTTCCATATGAATTTTAGGATTGCTTTTTCTAGTTCTGTGAAGAATGATGGTAGTATTTTGATGGAAACTGCATTGAATTTGTAGATTGCTTTTGGCAGTATGATCATTTTCACAATATTGGTTCCACCCATCTATGAGCATGGGATGTGTTTCCATTTGTTTGTGTCATCTATGATTTCTTTCAGCAGTGTTTTGTAGTTTTCCTTCTAGAAGTCTTTCACCTCCTTAGTTAGGTATATTCCTAAGTATTTTATTTTTTATTTTTATTTTTTGCAGCTATTGTAAAAGGGATTGAATTGTTGATTTAATGCTCAGCTTGGTTGCTGTTGGTGTATAGCAGAGCTACTGACTTGGGTGCATTAATTTTGTATTCTGAAACTTTGCTGAATTCCATCAGTTCTAGGAGCTTTTGGGGGGAGTCTTTAGGGTTTTCTAGGTATATGATCATATCATCAGCAAACAGTGACAGTTTGACTTCTTCTTTACCAATTTGGATGCCTTTATTTCTTTCTCTTGTCTGACTGCTCTGGCTAGGACTTCCAGCACTATGTTGAATAGAAGTAGTGAGGGTGGGCATCCTTGTCTTGTTCTATTCTCGGGGGAGATGCTTTCAACTTTTCCCCATTTAGTATTATGTTGGCTGTGGGTTTGTCATTGATGGCTTTTATTACATTCAGGTATGTCTCTTCTATGCCTATTTTGCTGAGGGATTTAATCATAAAGGGATGCTGGGTTTTGTCCAGTGCTTTTTCTGCATCTATTGAGATGCTCATGTGATTTTTGTTTTTATTCTGTTTATGTGGTGTATCACATTTATTTACTTGCATGTGTTAAACCTAAACCATCCCTGCATCCCTGGTGTGAACCCACTTGATCATAGTGGAGTATCTTTTTTACATGCTGTTGGATTCAGTTAGCTAGTATTTTGTTAAGGATTTTTGCATCTATATTCATCAGGGATATTGGCCTGTAGTTTTATTTTTTTGTTATGTCCTTTCCTGGTGTTGGCATTAGGGTATTACTGGCTTCATAGAATGATGTAGGGAGGATTCCCTCTTTCTTTGTATTTTGGAATAGTGTCAATAGGATTGGTATCAATTTTTCTTTGAATGTCTGATAGAATTCAGTTGTGAATCCGTCTGATCCAGGGCTTTTCTTTGTTGTTGACAATTTTTTCATTACCATTTCAATCTAGCTGCTTGTTCTTGGTTTGTTCAGAGTTCCTATTTCTTCCTGGTTTAATCTAGGAGGGATGTATATTTCCAGAAATGTATCTATGTCCTCTAGGTTTTCTAGTTTATGCACATAAAGGTGTTCATAGTAGCCTTGAATAATCTTTTGCATTTCTGTGGTATTGGTTGTAATATCTCCCATTTAGTTTCTAATTGAGCTTATTTGGATCTTTTCTTTTCTTGGTTAATCTCACTAATTTAGTCTATCAATTTTATTTTCCAAAGAACTTTTCAGCTTTTTGTTTCATTTATCTTTTGTGTTGTTTTTGTGTTTCAATTTCATGTAGTTCTGCTCTGATCTGTGTTATTCCTTTTCTTGTGCTGGGTTTGGGTTTGGTTTGTTCTTGTTTCTCTACTTCCTTGAGGTGTGACCTTCGATTGTCTGTGCTCTTTCAGACTTTCTGATGTTGGCATTTTTTAAGGCTATGAACTTTCCTCTTATTCTGCCTTTGCCATATCCCAGAGGTTTTTTTGTTTGGTTGGTGTTTTTGTTTGTTTGTTTGTTTGTTTGTTTGAGACAGAGTCTGCTCTGTCGCCCAGGCTGGAGATCAGTGGTGAGATCTCGACTCACTGCAACCTCTGCCTCCCAGGTTCAAGCAATTATCTGCCTCAGCCTCCCCAGTAACTGGGATTACAGGTGCCCACCACCATGCCCAGCTAATTTTTTTGTATTTTTAGTAGAGACAGGGTTTCACCATTTTGGCCAGGCTGGTCTTAAACTACTGACCTCGTGATCCACCTGCCTCGGCCTCCCTAAGTGCTGGGATTACAGGCGTGAGTCCCAGAGGTTTTGATAGGTGGTGTCACTATTATCGTTCAGTTCAAATAATTTTTTAATTTCCATCTTGATTTTATTGTTGACCCAGTGATCATTCGGGAGCAGGTTATTTAATTTCCATGTATTTGCATGGTTCTGAGGATTCATTTTGGAATTGACTTCCAATTTTATTCCACTGTGGTCTAAGAGAGTACTTGATATGATTTCAATTTTCTTAAATTTATTGAGACTTGTTTTGTGGCTTATCATGGTCTATCTTGGAGAATTTTCCATGTGCTCATGAATAGAATGTATATTCTGCAGTTGTTGGGTAGAATGTTCTGTAAATATCTGTTAAGTCCATTTGTTTTAGGATATAAATGACTTTCTGTCTTGATGATCTGTCTAGTGCTGTCAGTGGATGTTGAAGTCCCCCACTATTATTGTGTTGCTGTCAATCTCATTTCTTAGGTCTAGTAGTAATTGTTTTATAAATTTGGGAACTCCAGTGTTAGGTGCATATATATTTAGGATTGTGATATTTTCCTGCTGGACAAGTCCTTTTATCATTATATAATGTCCCTCTTTGTCTTTTTTAACAGCTGTTGCTTTAGAGTTTGTTTTGTCTGATACGAGAATAGCTACTCCTGCTCACTTTTGGTGTCCATTTGCATGGAATATCTTTTTCCATCCCTTTACCTTAAATTTTTGTGAGTCCTTATGTGTTAGGTGAGTCTCTTGAGGACAGCAGATAACTGGTTGGAGAATTCTTATCCATTCTGCCATTCTGTATCTTTTAAGTGGAGCATTTAGGCCATTTACATTCAATGTTAATATTGAGATGTGAGGTATTATTCCATTCATCGTGCTATTAGTTGCCTGAATACCTTGTTTTGTTTTGGTTTTTTACTGTGTTTTTGTTTTATAGGTCCTGTGAGATTTATGCTTTAAGGAGGTGTTATTTTGGTGTATTTTGAGGATTTAAGATTTAGAGCTCCTTTTAGCAGTTCTTGTAGTGCTGGCTTGGTAGTGGCAAATTCTCTCAGCATTTGTTTGTCTGAGAAAGACTGTATCTTTCTTTCATTTATGAAGCTTAGTTTCACTGAATACAACATTCTTGGGTGATAATTCTTTTGTTTAAGGAGGCTAAAGATAGGGCCCCAATGCCTTCTAGCTTGTAGTGTTTCTGCTGACAAATCTGCTGTTAATCTGGTAAGTTTTCCTTTTTAGGTTACCTGGTGCTTCTGCCTCACAGTCCTTAAGATTCTTTCCTTCATCTTGACTTTAGATAACCTGATGACAATGTGCCCAGGCAATGATTTGTTTGCGGTAAATTTCCCAGGTGTTATCTGGGCTTCTTGTATTTGGATGTCTAGATCTCTAGCAAAGCTGGGAAAGTTTTTCTTGTTTATTCCCTCAAATATGTTTTCCAAACTTTTAGATTTCTCTTCTTTCTTGGGAACACCAATTATTCTTAGGTATAATTGTTGTTTAACATAAGCCAAAACTTCCTTGAGGCTTTGTTCATTTTTTATAATTCTTTTTCCTTTGTCTTTGTTGGATTGGGTTAATTCAAAAACCTTGTCTTTGAGCTCAGAAGTTCTTTCTTCTGCTTGTTCGATTCTATTGCTGAGACTTTCCAGTGCATTTTGTATTTCTCTAAGTGCGTCCTTTATTTCCAGAAGTTGTGATTGATTTTTATTTATGCTTTCTATTTCACTGAAGATTTTTTCCTTCATATCTTGTATCTTTTCTTTATTTCATTAAATTGGACTTCACCTTTCTCTGGTGCCTCCTGGATAGCTTAATAATGGATCTTCTGAATTCTTTTTCTGGCAATTCAGGGATTTCTTCTTGGTTTGGATCCATTGCTGATGAGCTAGTGTGATCTTTTGAGGGTGTTAAAGAACCTTGTTTTGTCATATTACCAGAATTGTTTTTCTGGCTCCTTCTCATTTGGGTAGAGTATGTAAGAGGGAAGATCTGGGGCTCAAGGGCTGCTATTCAGATTCTTTTGTCCCATAGGGTTCTCCCTTGATGTAGTGCTCTCCACCTTCCCCTAGGGATGTGGCTTTCTGAGAGCTGAATTGCAGTGGTTGTTATTTCTCTTCTGGATCTAGCCTCCCAGTGGAGCTACCGGGCTCTAGGCTGGTACTGGGGGTGTCTGCACAGAGTCCTATGATGTGAACCATCTTCAGGTCTCTCAACCATGGATAGCAGCACCTGCTGTGGTGGAGGTGGCAGGGGAGTGAAATGGACTCTGTGAGGATCCTTAGTTGTAGTCTGTTTACTGCACTAGTTTTGTGCTGGTTGGCCTCCTGCCAGGAGGTGGCATTTTTCAAGAGCCCATCTGCTGTGGTAGTATAGGGAGGATCAGGTGGCGGGCAGGGCCCTAGAGCTCCCAAGACATTATGTCCTTTGTCTTCAGCTACCAGGGCAGATAGAGAAAGACCATCAGGTGGGGGCAGGATTAGGTGTGTCTGAACTCAGACTCTCCTTAGGCGGGGTTTGCTGCGGCTGCTGTGAGGGATGGGGGATGGTTCTCAGGACCATGGCCTTCTGTTCCCATGAGGATTATGGATGCCTCCGCTGTGTCACACAGGTCACCAGGGAAGTGAGGGGAAGCTGGCAGTTACAGGCCTCACTCAGCTCCTACACAGCCCAAAAGGCCAGTCTCACTCCCACTGTGGCGCCCCCATCCCCCACAGGACAGCACCGAGTTTGTTTCCAGGCAGCTGATGAACAGGACTGAGAACCTGCCCCAGGCTACCAGCCTCCCAGCTGAGAAAGCAAGCAGGGCTTTCAGGTTTCAAGCTTCCCCGCCTGCCGCGGCTTCTGTGCTGTGTCTGCGCTCCGATTCACCCGTCGCCCGAGTTCTGTCCGGGAAACTTCGCGTTTGGTTAAAATTGTTACAAAGTTCAGCTGGAAGTTTCCTTCTCCTTTGGTCTTTCCCCAGTTCCTCTGGCAGCCCTCCCTAAGGACCTCTGGAAGATGAAGTCAGAAATGGCTTCCCTGGGGACCGAGGGAGCCCACAGGGCTCTACCTACGGCTTCCTCAACCCCTGTATTTTGCACGGCTCTCTAAATTATCTCAGTTCCAGGTAAGGTCGATTCCTTCTCCTGTAATCTGGACCTTCAGTCTCCCCAGTGAGGGTGTGTGTTCAGGGGTGGATGATCCCCCTTTCACACTTTGGGTACCCACAGTTTGGGGGCTGTCTCCTGGGGCCTGCAGGAGCAATCCACTTCTTTCAAAGGGTCTGTGGATTCTCTCGCTTTCCTGGTAGGTTCCTGCGGTAGTTCTTGGAGCAAAAGTTCACCGGTGTGAGTCTCCACACGCTGCGCTGTCTGTCCGGGTGGGAGCTGCAATTTACTCCTGCCTCCTATCGGCCATTTTATTTGACCAGATGTAAACTTGTTTTGTCTTGCATAGTCCAGATAACTTGATCTTTCTAAACTTCCTATATTGATGTTTCTGTTCAAATAAACTAATAGTACCTCCATATAAATTTTTAGATTTAGAGAAGTGTAAATAAAATGTGTTCAACTAAATTGAATTAAAATTCTAACAAACTTTGTTATACCAATAGTAATTATGTTCTGTGGTATGTTATTTCACACATAATTTCCAAAGTCCTTAATAACCTTAAGACCTTGGATTTATGTTGACTGAATTAACAATCTCTAAATACTCATTTCTTCTTATTTTTATATGCTGTAGTGTAGCTACACCTTTGGGCCGTGTTAACAGATGTTCAGCTTTGCCACTTTGCTGTACGTGTTGCAAGGGGTCTTCTTCTATGTGTTTGTGAACTTCTCTGGCTGTGGTGGACACGGAGGTGCCGGGCCAGGTGCCCCTTTGAGGAAGGACTTGCTGCCGGCGCCCTCATCAGCAGCACGGAGCCGCCTCACCTGAGACCCACATGGCCTGGGCCACACCTGCGACCGAGCCCCACCAGCCAGCCAGCCAGGACCTCTCACTGTCAGCTCTGGCCTGGGTGTCCCCCGCTGGGCCGGCCAAGGCTTTCTCTGGGCTGAATTGTGCCTTGACTTCTCCCTTTGCCCAAGTTTTGTGCCTTAAAAACCGTCTGCACCCCTAGCTCCATCTCAGCAATTGCTTCCAGAGGCCCCCACCTTCGGGGAGACGCTGTCTGCTAAAATGGCTTGTGTGACAACAGATGGGTCTCTATCCCCACCTCCCAGCTCTACCTGCAAATGGAAGTTATTGGCTTGGGTTAACATTTATAACTAACATTAGTGACTGAGACTACACTAGGAGCAATAGTGGCAAAGAAATATGATCGTGCATTCAATGGGATGTGCTTTTGTTCACCAAGGATAAAGAGATTCGTTTTGTCTGAAGTGTTTGTTTGCTCCAGAATGGGAAAGAGAGTAGTGAAAGATACAACTTGAATGAAAATAGAAAATTATGGAAGTTTTAAAGAAAGTAAACCTTATTTTCCTTGATTCCAAATATCTGCAAATAATGAGTCTGAAAAAAAAAAACAATGAAATGTGTTACAATTTGGGCAAAATTTGTTCATACTTAATGGGTTTGTTCGTAAGAAAAAATAAAAGCATATGAATCGTTTGCTGCCAAATATTACATTAATGCCAGACTAGAATTGGGTCTTGTCTCTGTTAAAATGACAGAAGTGGTCTTGTAGTATTTAGTGTGATATTCAAGAAGTGATAATAGGCCGGGTTTGAGAGCCTTTGGAAGTGGGATTGAGTGGATGCATGAAGGAAATCTGAGCTTCGCCACTGTTATTTTTTGTGTTTTCTTTGTGATCAGTATATGATGAAGCCTTTCTCCTTCTTCTGGATCTGTCTTTAACCTTTAGCTTAATAGACTATGCTTTTGCAAGCTGAAACAAAACATTCTTTAATATCTTACTCATCTCTTAGGATTTGTAAGTATTTTTCTTGAGGTTCTTTGCTTTAATTGGCATTAATTGCAAAGATTCAATAAGAATCTGTCCTTTTTTTATCAGGATATAATTGGACAAATTGTGTGACCAAATTGTTTGGATTTTTATAGCGTTATATTTGAGAAAAACTTGTGTGTGATCAGGCGTGATAATTGCCTCATGGAGGACCAAAGGTGGAACTTCGGACGGGTGTCCACGCCCCTAAGGCCCTCCCTCTGCCCAGAGCAGGCTGAGGGCCCACATGTGCATGGGAAACAGCGGGGACAGGGGCAATGTTTAGCCCTGGGAGGGGAGGCGTGGGGCGGGCTCAGCAAATGTCTTCAAAGAGGTAAGGCTGGAGGAACCCTTCCTGGCATTCTCTGTCGTTGCACATGGGCCACACCCTGAGGGGGCTCCTTGCCCTTCAGTGTTCCCCACCGGACACATCTGGGCGATCCAATTTTCTGCTCCTTTGAATTGGGCTCCTCTCCTGCAGACCCTCTGTCTGCCGTTTGTGCTGGGACTCCCAGAGTGCCGGCTTCCCCACGGGGCAAATCGGATCAGCCACTTGCCTCAGAAAAACCCTTTCTCATACTCGGGAGGCTGAGGCAGGAGGATCGCTTGGGCCCAGGAGTTCCAGGCTGCAGTGAGCTGTGATCACACTGCTGCACTCCAGTCTGGGCAACAGAGCCAGCTTGACGTGGCCTCCCGGCCTTTCCTCTCTCCTGCTGGACTCTGACGCTTCCGTTCCCACAAGGCATGGGGCTTCACACACTTTTAGGCCTCAGGGCTTGTAGTGCCCACCTCCCACCCGGTGTGCCCCTTCCTTGGCACAGACATTTCCAACTCCCTCACCAGGCTGCTGCTGTGGAAGGGGCTTTGTGACCCCACGGCCTCCGTGGCTGTGCTTTTACCCCATCCAACTTATAACCATGGTGTGTGGCTCAGTCCCCTGCCTCGATTGTCTTCTTATTTTGGTATCCAGCAAAGAGCACAACCTATGGAAAATGCTCACAACTGTGCTAAAAAACAAACAAATCAAATCTGGTCTAAGTCTGTCATTTTGCAACCGGAAAAAAGAAGTTGTTAAGAAGTACTGTGACTTGCCTGAGATCCTACAACCAGTTAGTGGCAAAGCTGGGACGAAATCCTAACTCTCTCTGGGCTTCTCTTAACACCTGCAATTCCTGGTGGCTGTGGGGACCAAGCTGGAACTGATGACCTCGGTTCCAGGCAGGTGCATGGGGTCTGCGTGTGGGAGAAAGCTGCTTAAATAGCAGTGATGCCAGGGCACAAAGCCCGACAGGTGGGGGACCCAGGTCCCACCCTCAGCCCTCCCCACTGCCTCCACCTCCTGGGATGTGTGATTTAGGCAGAGCCTTCAGCGCTGCAAGGCACGGGGTGGTGCTGGCTGTCTGGGGGGTGGGAGGAAGAGGTGGAGGCGGAGAAGAGGATGGTGATGATAGATAATAGCTATCACCCAACATAAAAAATGCTTGCCTTCCAAAAGTGGGTCTCTCACTCCTGGGACTATTTGGCCAAAGGCCAAGACCCCCGTGGGAGGCAGGGAGGGGATTATTTCCCTAGGGAGAGATCTGGGCCACGTGGACTCTGCACCCCCTTCAAAGCCAGGGTTCCCACTATGACTGGACAGACAGACCTGAGTACACTGCCATGGGGAGGCTGCTTGGAGCTGAGAGGGTCAGGCTCCAAGGAAAGGCTGACTTCACGTCCCGCTGCATGGTTCCACAAAGGGGTCCCAAGGAGCCCGTGCTCACAAGGCTTCGAGGTCATCTCAGCTCTTACAGAACAGCCACGCATCCCCCGGACACCCAAGATCTATTCTTGAGACCTTTTTATGACTCAGGGTATTTGAGCCAGCAGGCAGCTCACTCTCTCTGTGATTCCCCATGCACCATGTGCCAACGGTGACATGCTGACTCCAGGGCTCCAGGTTGCCTCTGGCAACCAGCACCATGCAGAGGGTGTCACTATGAATGACAACACTGAAGGGACAGTGCCTCCCAACAAACGGAACGCACACAAACATGAAATTCAAACCCCTCGTCTCGACATGCTAAGCCCTGTCCTCATTGGTGTCTAGAATGGGGTGGTGATACCCTGAGGACAGAATGCGTGGCTCCCGTAGCTTGGAGTCCAAACACTGCTGTTCCCTGCCGCTAACCTCTGGCACCCTGCATTCTCCTCGGAAGGTACTTTTGTACACAGACCAAGAAACAGTCGGTCTAGGGGGCAGGCCAGCCATCAAGGGGGAGAGAAAAGAGGCCTAGAGGAAGGATGTAGAGACCTGGGCTCTGGTACTGGATATGCCCCCACCTCCTGTGCAACTGGAGCAGGTCACTTAATCAGACCTTCAGCTTCCTTATCTGGGAAGTGGGGATCTCATCTCACTTTGCAAGATTATTCAAGTCAAATTATCATCTCCTTAGCCAATACTGTAAGCAATGCACACTTGTTTAAGGATTTACTGCCTGGTAAGCAGCCCTTTTACTTTTTTCTCTGAGAGGATTTTAGTCCTTTAGCCATTGAAAGAGCCAACCCTGGATTACCCTTGCCAAAATAAACCACTTCCTACTCAAAAACACATCTCACTTCACACCACTGAACTGGACACTTAAAAATGGTTAGAATGGGCTGGGCGCAGTGGCTCACACCTATAATCCCAGCACTTTGGGAGGCCGAGACGGGCAGATCACGAGGTCAGGAGATCGAGACCATCCTGGCTAACATGGTGAAACCCCGTCTCTACTAAAAATACAAAAATTAGCCAGGCGCGGTGGCAGGCGCCTGTAGTCCCAGCTACTCGGGAGGCTGAGGCAGGAGAATGGCATGAACCCGGGAGGCGGAGTTTGCAGTGAGCCGAGATGTTGCCACTGCACTCCAGCCTGGGCAACAGAGCGAGACTCCGTCTCAAAAAAAGACAAAAAAACAAATGGTTAGAATGGTAAATGTATGAGGTGTATATTTTACCACCCCTGCCACACACACACATCACTTCCTATTCTCGCATCCCGCCCTGGAATATTCCTCCCATTCCTGCACTGTTGGAGTCCCCCAGCAGCTGGCTCAAGCCCTGCCCTCCGATGGTGCCTCCCCTGCCTGCATCAGGCCACAGGCCCTTCCTTCATCCCCACATTGGGACACCTCTCACCCAGTGACTGCAACAACTGGGGACCCTTTGCATCCCCAACAAGAGTGCCACCGCCAGAACGCATAGACTGGGACCCCTAGAACACTGGTCAGCAGCACTTTATGCAAGAGAGACACTCAGTGTATGTTTGGCAATTGGCCGATTTCTCTGTTCACAGTGAAGGAAGGGGATGAGGCTCAGGCCTGCGAAGGACATGACTCCTTAGAAGCAGTGGTCCTCTAGCTCTTCACCATGTGAATTTTATTCACTGCTTCCCTGTGACGCTCATATTTGTTTTCTATTGCTGTCATATAAGTCACCACAAGGAAGTGGCATCACCAACATGGTGGAATAAGACGCCTCAAGTGTCATTCCTCCCAAGACACTGACTTAACAATATATGGTCCAAAAAGTCTGCATGAGAACTCCAGAAACCATTTAAGAAGTGGCAGCACCCCAGGCAAACTCAAAGCCAGAACAGCCACTTTGAAAAAGGTAACAAAAGCCATTTTATTTCAACCCCAAAAGCCATTCCTCAAAGCAGCACAATCAGCAGAAAGCACCCCGTTCACAGCTTCTCCGTCAAGGGAAAAAGAGAAGACTGGAGCATGTGTCCAACAGTCTAATTTTCAGGGGCTGCCTGAGGCAACGGTTTTTGTCTCACTTGAATTGGATCACTGATGGAGCTGATATACTTTGGATATCCTGGGAGCCACAGAGAACAAAAGAGCTCAGTGGCTTCTTGCAGCTCCAAAGAACCTGCAATACTTCGTACAGACACCAGAGGGAGTAAGAGATTACAAGCTCCAGAAAAAGAAACCAGAAAACCCCTCTAACTGGGAAATGACATGCACACGCCCAGAGAGAACACATCCCAAAGGTTTGAGAGGCTTCTGGAATCTCCAACCCAGATGATTGGTGAAAGTTTTCCCTTTATCAAGTTAGTCCTAAAAGACTGCCATAGGTGGCTGGTTTTCCAAATGCACAAATCACGGCATAAAATAGTAAGACCCATGGAGAAGCAAGAAAACATGGTTGAATCAAAGGAACAAAATAAATCTCCAGAAACTGACTCTAAATGAATAGAGGTCTATGAATTACCTCAAAAATAATTTCAAATATTTCTCTTAAAGAAACTCAATGTACAACAAGAGAACACAGATTAACAACTAAATTAAATCAGGAAAACAATGCATGAACAAAATGAGGTTATCGACAAAGAGATAAAAACAGCAAAAAAAAAAAAAAAAAAAAAAAAAAGAGAGAGAGAGAACTAAACATAAATTCTGGAGCTGATGAATCCAATAAGTGAATTGAAAAATTCACTACAGGGGCTGGGCACAGTGCCTCAAACATATAATCCCAGCACTTTGGGAGGCCAAAGCAGGCAGATCACTTGAGGTCAGGAGTTCAAGACCAGCCTGGGCAACATGGTGAAGCCCCATCTCTACCAAAAACATACAAAAATTAGCTGGGCATGGTGACATGTGCCTGGAGTCCCAGCTACTTGGGAAGCTGAGGTGGGAGGATTGTTTGAGCCCAGGAGGTGGAGGCTGCAATGAGCTGAGATCATGCCACTGCAGTCCATCCTGAGTGATAGAGCCAGACACTGTCTCCAAAAAAAAAAAAGAAAGAAAGAAAGAAAAAGAAAAGTTCACTACAGGGATTCAACAGCAGACTTGATCAAGCAAACAAACAACAAAAGAATAAGCAAACTTGAAGACAGGTTTTTTGAAATTATTAAAGTAGAGAAATGAAAGGAAAAAGAACGATGAAAAGTAAAGAAAGCCTAAGGGAATGATACAACACCACCAAGCCAACCAATACATGTCATATGAAAGTCCCAGGCAGAGATAAGAGAGAGAAAGGGGCAGAGAGCTTATTTGGAAAAACAATGGCTGAAAACTTTCCAAATCTGAGGAAGGAAACAGATATTCAAATTCAAGAAGTTCACAGGACTCCAACTTGGATGAACATAAACAGGTCCAAACAGGTCAGAAGTCAAAAACAAAGACAATTTTGAAAGCATCAAGAAAAAGTGATTTGTCATATACAAGGGAGCTTCCTTGAGACTATCAGTAATTTCTAAGGAGAAACATTATAGGCCAGAAAGTAGTAGAATGATCTATTTAGAGTGCTAAAAGAAAAAAACTGCCAACCAAGAATACTACAGCCAGTAAAATTGTCTTCAGACTTGAAGGCAAGAACTTCCTGTTTCAAAATGGCAGTGTAGAAGCAAGCTGGTTTCACTCCCCTCAACCCCCTGCCCCAGAAAACTGAAAAATATATCTATACAGCACTGAGAGTCTCATCAGCAATATCTCAGAACTCAAAAATGAAGATGAGATAGTTCCCAGGGCCACAGATAAATAAAGATACTCTGAGCAGACAGAAAGAGAACTGGACTTCCACATCTGTGATGCCCGTCCCCTCATTCGGCCTATCACCAAGCACGTGGAAATATTTTCCCCCAACTCACAGTTTCTACACTGGAAAAACTGCGATCAAGGTGGACAACCAGGTCCCCCACCATCTTGGATTCTCTGGCACATTTGACCCTGCCTTAGCCCATGGAAAGCATTATGAGTGCCAGAAGGGAGAAATATCCTTGGGGACAGGCAGAGACAAAATGGGCAGGCAGGACAACCATCCTCAGCCCTGGAAACTCTGCTCTGTAACTTGGCTAAAGAAGACACCAAATCAGAGAGGCTGTTCAGCAGCACCACATGTAAAAGATTGATTTCACAGGTCTCCTGGGCATAAACCCTTTGCCAGCCTTCCGATACTGCTGGAATATCCTCTTTGGGGCCTCCCCCATTCAAGAAGGGCAGCATTCATATCATTTATTACAGCTTGGTGAACCTGGATTTAAGGCACCACCTACAGCTGTAAAGGAGCCAGGCAACCTAGTGGTAAAGAAGCTCTACAGAAACATACCCAATACAAGCCAGACAAAGAAGACTTAAATAACTAATCCCTCAATGCAAAGATGTAGACTACATCCACAAGAAACAACTGTGAACAGGGAACCATGACCTCCCCAAATAGAAAAAGCAAGGAACCAGTGACTGATCCTAATAAGATGGCAATATGTGAGCTCTCTAAGAATCCAAAACTGCAGGGGTTTTTTGTTTGTTTGTTTTTAGAGACAAAGCCTAGGCTTGGATGCAGTGTCATGATCTTAGTTCACTGCAACCTCAAACTCTTGGACTCAAACAATCCTCTCAAGTAGCTAGGACTACAGGTATATGCCACCATACCTGGCTGATTTCTTTTTTAATTATGTTTTTTGTAAAAATGGGGTCTCACTATGTTGGCCAGCCTGGTCTCAAACTCCTGGCCTCAAGTAGGTCTCCTATCTCAGCTCCTCAAAGCACTGGGATTATAGGTGTGAGCCATCATGCTCAGCCCAAAACTGCGGTTTTAAGGAAACTCAATGATCTTCATGATAACACAGAAAAGCAATTGAGAAATTTAATAAAAAGATTGAAATAATTAAAAAGATCACACATAACTCTTAGAACTGAGAAATACATGTGCTGAACTGAAAAAGTTATTAGAGGCTCTCAACAGCAGAATGGATGAAGCACAGGAAAGAATCGATGAGGTTGAAGACAGCCTATTTGAAAATACATAGTATGAGGAGAAAAGAGAAAAAAAGAGTGAAAAGGAACAAAGATTACCTATAAGATATAGAAAATTACTTCAAAAAAACAAACTTAAGAATTATTGGTGTTCAAGAGGGAGTTGAACAAGAGTAAGGGGGGGTAGAAAGCATATTCAAAAAGAAAAATAGAAAACTTTCCAAAACCTGAGAAAGATATAAATAACCAGGTACAAGAAGGTAAGAGATCACCAGATTCGACCCAAATAAGACAAACTCTGAAAGGTCAAGAACAAAGAGAAGGTCCTAAAATCAGCAAGAGAAAAGAAGCAAATCACACATAAAGGAGCTACAATTTGTCCAACAACAGACTTCTCAATGGAAACCATACAAGCCAACAGAGAGTGAGACCACATTTTCAAAGTGATGAAAGAAAAAAAACCCCTGCCATTCAACAATACTGTACCCAGCAAAGTTATCCTTCAAATATGAAGAAGAGATAGTCTTTTTCAGACAAACAAAACTGAGAGTTCACCATGACACCTGTCTTACAAGAAATGCTAAAGATAGATCTTTAATCTGAAAAAAAAAATACTAAAATGCTAAAAGGAAAAAATAAAAAATGAAAAACATTTGAAGGTATAAAGCCTACAGGTAAAATTAAGTATTCAGCTCAGACAAACCCAGTATACCCTAATATTTGAATTGTTCTGTGCAATCCACTCATAGCTCTAGCATGAAGTCCAAAAGACAAATATATCAAAAACAATAATAGTTATAGCAGCCTGTTAAGAAATAGGTAATGTAAAAATATGTAAATTGAGACAAATAAAAGTTGAAATGTGGGGGTGTGGAGTTAAAGTGCAGAATTATTTTGTTTTTTTCTTTGTGATCTAAGATAAGTTGTCATCTCTTTAAAATAACTTATAAGATGCTTTTTGTAAGCTTCATGGTAGCCATAATCCACAACCTGTATAGATTTCCTAAAAATAAGAAGGAACAAATTAAAACATGCTACAAGACAAAATAAGTTAACAACAAAAGAAGGCAGTAAGAAAGGAAGAAAAGGAGAAAGGATGTACAAGACAACCAGAAAACAAGGAACAAAATGACAGTAGTAAGTCCTCACTTATGATGAATCACACTGAACATAAATGGACTCAGTCCTCTTAGATAAAAGGCATAAAATGGCTGAATGAATAAAGAAACAAGACCCAAATATATGCTGCCTACAAGAAACCACCTTCACCTATAAAGACACATAGATTGACGGTGAGGGGGTAGAAAAAGATATTTCATGGGACTGGAAACTAAAAAAGAGCAGGTGTAGTTATATTTATCTCAGACTACAAATCAAAGCCTGTAAAAAGATACAAAGAAGGTCACTATTTAATGACAGAGTAAATTCAGCAAGAGAATATAACAATTACAAATACGTATGCACCCAATACCAGAGCACCCAAGTATATAAAGCAAACATTGACAGATCTAAATGGAGAGATAGACTGAAATATAATAGTAGGGGACTTTAATACCCTACTCGTTAATGGACAGATCATCCAGACAGAAAGCCAAAAAAAAAAAAAAAAGTTAAACTATACCCAAGACTTACTAAGCCTAACTGACATTTACAGAACATTTCACCCAATTATTGCAGAATACACATTCTTTTCATCAGCACATGGGAATAATCTCCAAAATAAACCATATCTTAGGCCACAAAACAAGTCTAAACAAATTCAAAAATGCAGAAATCATATCAAGTATGTGTTTCTGACCATGATGGACTAACATTAGATATCAATAATAAGAGGAACCTCAGAAACTTCACAAGCACATGGAAATTAAACAGTGTGCTCCTGAATGATCAATGGGTTAATGAAGAAATTTAAAAGGAAATTTAAAAATTTCTTGAAACAAATGAAAATGGAAATACTACATACCAAAATCTATGGGATGTGGCAGAAGCAGTAGTAACAGGGAAGTTTATAGCAATAAATGGCTATATCAAAAATGTAGAAAGGGACTTCAAATAAATAACCTAAAATACACCTCAAGGAATTAGAAAAGCAAGAACAAACCAAACCCAAAATTAGTAGAAGAAAAGAAATAATAAAGATCAGAGCAAAAATAAATAAAATTGAGACTTAAAAAAATACAGAAATCAACAAAATGAAAAGTTGGTTTTTTTGAAAAGATAAACAAAATTGACAAACCTTTAGCTAGACTAAGAGAAAATGAAAGAAGACCCAAATAGATAAAATTAGAAACAAAAAAGGAAACATAACAACTAGGCCACAGAAATACAAAGAATCATTGGAGACTATTGTGAATAACTATATGCCAACAAATTGGAAAGCATAGAAGAAATGTATACATTCCTGGACACATTCACCCCATCAAGATTGAACCATGAAGAAATAGAAAACTTCAACAAACCAATAATGAGTAACAAAATTGAAGCCATAATAAAAAGGTTTCTGTTAAAAAAAGAAAGAAAGTGGCCGGGTGTGGTGGCTTACGCCTGTAATCCCAGCACTTTGGGAGGCCAAGGTGCATGGATCATGAGGTCAGGAGATCAAGACCATCCTGGCTAACACAGTGAAACCCCGTCTCTACTGAAAAAAAATACAAAAAAAAAAAAAAAATTAGCTGGGCGTGGTGGTGGGCACCTGTAGTCCCAGCTACTCAGGAGGCTGAGGCAAGACAATGGCGTGAACGCAGGAGGCGGAGTTTGCAGTGAGCCGAGATCGCGCCACTGCACTCCAGCCTGGGTGACACAGCAAGACTCTGTCTCAAAAAAAGAAAGAAAGAAAGAAAGCCCAGGATGTAATGCCTTCACTGTTGAATTCTACCAGACGTTTTACAAAGAACTAGAACCAATTCTACTCAAACCCCTAAAAAAAAATTGAAGTACAGGGAATACTTCCAAACTTGTTCTATGAAGCCAGCATTATTACCCTGATACCAAAACCAGACAAAGACACAACAAAAAAAGAAAATGGTAGGTCAGTATCACTGATTGAACATAGAGGCAAAAAAAATCTTCAACAAAATACTAGCAAACTGAATTTAACAACACATTAAAATGATTATTCACCATAGTCAAATGGGATCTATCCCAGAGATGCAAGGATGGTTTAACATATACAAATCAATAAATATGATACATCACATTAACAGAACCAAGAATAAAAACTATATGATCATCTCAACACATCCAGAAAAAGCATTCAATAAAACCCAGCAACCCTTTATGATAAAACCCATCATCAAACTGAGTATAAAAGGAACACACCTCAAAATAATATAGGCTATATATAACAATTCCACAGTTTATATGGTACTGAATAGGGAAAAATTGAAGGCCCTTCCTCTAACATATGGAACAAGTCAAAAAACACCTACTTTCAACTCTTTCTTTTTTTGAAGCAGAGTCTCGGTCTGTCACCCAGGCTGGAGTGTAGTGGTATGATCTTAGCTCACTGCAACCTCCACCTCCTGGGTTCAAGTGATTCTCATGCCTCAGCCTCCCAAGTAGCTGGGATTACAGGCATGCATCACTGTATCTGACTAATTTTTATATTTTTAGTAGAGATGGGGTTTCACCATGTTGCCCAGGCTGGTCTTGAACTCCTGGCCTCAAGCAATCTGTCCACCTCGGCCTCCCAGGGTGCTGGGATTACAGGAGTGAGCCTCTGCACCTGGCTACTTACACCATCTTTATTCAACATAATACTGTAAGTCCTGGCCAGAGCAATTAGGCAAGGGAAATAAAGGACATCAAAATTGGAAAGAAATAAGTCAAATTAGCATTTTTCACAGATGACATGATCTCACACTTAGAAAAATCTAAAGACTCCACCAAAAAACTGTTAGAACTGATAAACAAATTCAGTAAAGTTGCAGGATACAAAATCAACATACGAAAATCAGTAGCAGTTACATATGCCAAAAGTAAACAATCTGAAAAAGAAATCAAGAAAGAAATCTGGGAGCCTGCATTTTCTCCAGTACTCATTGGGGGCCACCTGCTGAGGTATTTGGCTGTTATAAATAAAGTTGTGATGAACACATGTACAAATGTTTGTGTGGACATAAGTTGTTATTTCTCTTGAGTAAATACCTAAAAGTGGGATTGCTGGAGTTTTACTACCCTTGGATGCTACTGTTGATATGGAAAAGACTGAGGAACAGTTTACTAATCTGCACATTGTTAAATGTTCCTCAGGAACCAGAGAGTACACTTACCTTCTTGGCATAGATATATCGAAGACTGTGCAAGCAGGAAAAGAAAACTTGGTTGCTGTTTTATATTCTAATGGATCAATCAGAATATATGATAGAGAAAGATTAAATGTACTCTGAGAATTTAGTGGATATTCCGGACTTCTTAATGTCCAGCTCTTCAAAGATTACCCTTCCAATATTTTTATCCATTTTGATATTAACTGTAATGATCATATTATTTGTGCTGGTACAGAAAAGTTGATGATGATGCATGGTTGGTGTTTTGGGATGCAAGGATGAATTCTCAGGATTTATCTTCAACTAAAGACCCGATTGGTGCATATTCAGAGACACATAGCAATGATGTCACTCAAGTACGTTTCCATCCCAGCAATCCCAACATGATAATCTCAGGTTCACTTGATGGCCTGGTAAATGTATTTGATATTAATGTTGATAATGAAGAGGGCGCACTGGTTACAACCTGTAACTCAATTTCATCAGTCAGCTGTATCAGTTGGTCTGGGATAGGTTACAAACAGATTTACTGCATGACACATGAAAGATTTTACTGGTGGGATCTTAATCATCTGGATGCTGATGAACCAATTACATGTTAGAACATCCAGGATGTCGGAGAAATGGTTAATGTGAAAGAAGATATTTTAGACTATTTGATTGGTGGCCTATATCATGAAAAGATGGAAACATTGCTTGTTATCCTTCCTTTGGATAACAAAGGAAGGATTCAGTTGATGAACATTAGGATTGGCCCATGTGACTAGCCTTCAGGGAGGGCATGCTGTACAGTTCGTTCTTTCTGTTGGAATGTGCAGGATGATTCTTTGTTGACTGGAGGAGAAGATGCACAGTTATACTTCGGAAACCTGGAGCTATAGAGAAGGCCTTTATAAAGAAAGAGAGCATGAAAATGGCATCCTCTGCGCACCAACAAGTACGAGTTAATAGTAATGATTCTTATAAAAGAAAGAAAAAGCAGTGTTAATACACTGGCACTTTGGTAGGTTTCATAGTTTCAAGTGATCATTCTTGTTTACCACCAATGGTAGACATGTTTAAAACTGTATGTAAAAACAAGCCAGTTAGCAAACAATCCTTGAAAAATGTCGAGAATGGTTTCATGCAGGTCTTCACATATTCTAAAAAATTTTAAAGCTACTAATTAAGTATAAAATCAGTACATTGAAAGTAAAATTTCTAATTTTAAAAATACATCTGTTAAGTTACTAAATGTTGGGTTTAAAGAAATGGCACTGATAAGGACTTTTTAGAAGTAGATACCTGGTAAAATTTAATAAAACAGGTGGTTGGCTGCATTTTTAAGCCCAATTTTTTATATTTTAAATTATCTTCATTGTGTATGAAACCAAATCAGACAATATTCTTCATTCGAGGAGCATCTATATGCTTAATACATCTAATGTATTATGTTTGAGTATTTAAGTGTAAGTATTTTAATGACTCTAAATAGAATTAAACCTTTTTAGAAATAAAATGATAGGCATCTATCTAAAATGAGAAAAATATATTTAGTAAATATTTGCACCCTTAATATTGTTAGTAAGCAGTAAACAGGTGTTTTGCTGATGAAAAGGAAGTTATCTTGCTAAATTGAGACTCAAAGTGAAATATAAAAATGAATATATTTATAATAGGACTTGACTTGGAGAAATCCCTATTCTCCCTGTTGTCCAAAGCATGACTCTGAGGATAACCTGGACTACTCTCTTCCCTCTTTTCCTAACCAGTTACTCACCACGTCCTACGCCATTTCACCTCCTAACATCTGTCAGCTACCCTTTTGCTTTTACCTCACCACTATTACCTTAGAGAAGACTTTCATTATTTCCCACCTAGATTACAGACTCCATCTCTAATCTGCTTCAGTTTATCCTTGCTACTTCTAGGCTAACCATAAAAAATAGACCTGGTGGAGGTGGGGAAGTGGGGGGGAAGAAACAAAACCATCCGATGATGCCTCATCCTGCTCAAATTCTTCGTACATTGATGTTTTGATGGAGCACTATGTAAACATTAAAAAATTATGCTTTTCAGAATCTTTAAAATATAAGTCAGTGCTATGTAGTAAATGGAAAAACTAGTTTGAAAGATTTCCTTGAGGAATTACATTCATAAAACAATTACATTCACAAAACATAAAACAGTATCAAAACGATAGGGCTTTTTTAAATTAAAAATATCGAAAATTCAAAAGTAATTAATAGTGTTGGAAGATGTGGGTGACAGAAAGTGAGAGAAAAGATGAAAGCCACAGAATATAAATAGATGGACCTAAAACCAGACTAACAGTTTTAGAAAGTGGAAAAAAAAAAAAGAAAAAAGAAATGGGAGCAGTGGGTTATTAGAAATAACATAAGTGGCTGATATGGTTTGTCTGTGTCTCCACCCAAATCTCATCTTTAATTGGAATCCCCATAATCCCCACCTGTCTATGGAGAGACCAGCTGGGAGGTGATTGGATCATGGGGGCACTTCCCCCATGCTGTTCTCATGATAGTGAGTGAGTTCTCACGAGATCTGATGGCTTTATAAAGGGCTCTCCCACTTTGCCCCTCACTCTTTCTACTTCCTGCCACCTGGTAAAGAAGGTGCCTTGCTTCCCCTTTGCTTTCCCCCATCATTGTAAGTTTTGTGAGGCCTTCTCAGCCATGTTGAACTGTGATAATTAAACAATTAAACCTCTTTCCTTTATACATTAAAAAAAGAAAGAAATCTCATTTACAATAGCTACAAAGAATATAAAATACCTAGAAATCAATTTAACCAAAGAAGTAAAAGATCTATACATGGAAAACTATTAAAAAACTGATGAGAGATTGAAGAGGACTCAAAAAATTGAAAAATATTCCATGTTCATGAATTGGAAGAACATTACTAAAATGCCAATACTATCCAAAGCCATTTACAGATTCAGTGTGAACCCTATCAGTGATATTCTTCACAGAAATAGAAAAAAAATTCCAAAATGTATATGGAACCAAAAAAGGCCCTGAATCTCCAAAGCAATCCTGATCAAAAAGAGCAAAGCAGGAGGCATCACACTACCTGACTTCAGAGTAAATAGACAACCTATAGAATAGGACAAAATATTTGCGATCTATGCATCTGACAAGGGTCTAATATCCAGCATCTACAAATAGCTTAAACAAATTTACAAGAAAAAAAAACATTAAAAAGTGGGCAAAGTACATGAACAGACACTTTTCAAAAGAAGACATACATGCAGCCGACAAGTATATGAAAAAAGTTCAATATCATTGATCATTAGAGAAATGCAAATCAAAACCACAATGAGATACCATCTTACACCAGTCAGAATGGCTATTATTAAAAAGCCAAAAAATTACAGATGCTGGTGAGGATGTGGAAAAAGGGAATGCTTATACACTGTTGGTGGGAGTGTAAATCAGGGCAACCATTGTGGAAAGCAGTATGGTGATGTCTCAAAGAGCTGAAAACAGAACTACCATTCAACCCAGCAATCTCACTACTGGGTGTATACCCAAAAGAATACAAATTGTTCTGTCATAAAGTCACGTGCATGGGTATGTTCACTGCAGCACTATTCAAAGTAGCTAAGACATGGAATCAACTTAAATGCCCATCAATGCTAGACTAGATAAAGAAAATGTGGTATATATACACCATGGAATACTATGTAGCCATAACAAGGAATGAGATCATGTTCTTTGCAGGACCATGAATGGAGCTGGAGGACATTATCCTTAGCAAACTAATGCAGGAACAGAAAACCAAATACCGTATGTTCTCACTTATAAGTGGGAGCTAAGTGATGAGAACACTTGGACACAAAGAGGGGAACGACAGACACTGGGGTCTACCTGAAGGTGGATGGTGGGAGAAGAGAGAGGAGTAAAATAAGCAGCTATTGGATAGTAGGCTTAGTACTGGGGTCATTAAATAATCTGTACAACAAACCCCCATGACATGAGTTTATGCATATAACAAACCTGTGCATGTACTGCTGAACCTAAAATAAAAGTTTACAATAGAACATGGACAAAAGATCTGAATAGACATTTCTCAAAAGAAGACATATGAATGGCAAACGGGTATATGAAAAAATGCTCTACGTCACGAATTATCAGAGAAATGCAAATCAAAACTACAGATCTCACCCCAGTTAAAATGGCTTTTATCAAACAGACAGGCAATAACAGATGTTGGTATGTGGAGAAAGGGCAACCTTTGTACACTATTGGTGGGAAAGTAAATTAGTATAGCCACTATTGAGAATGGTATAGAGGTTCCTCCAAAACTACAAATAGAACTACTATATGCTCCAGCAATTCCACTACTGGGTATATGTCCAAAAGAAAGAAAATAAGATATTGAAAAGATATCTGCACTCTCATGTTAATTGCAGCATTAGTCACAATAGCCAAAATATGGAATCAACCTAAAGGCTCATCACTAAATGAATTAATAAAGAAAATGCGTTATATAGTTTATTATATTTTATATAGTATTTATATTGTATTTTTATAATATAAAAAGAATAAAATATTGTCATTTGCAGCAACATGGATAGAACCGGAGGTCATTATATTAAGTGAAAAAGAAAGAAAGAACTTTAATAACACCGTAGACCAACTAAGCCTAACAGACGCATATAAAACACTCCACCCAACAACAGCAGAATACACATTCTTCTCAAATGTACACAGATGTACACAGATCACAGGTTATGCCACAAAAGAAATTCTTAACAAATTTAAGAAGATCGAAGTCATACAAAGCATCTTTCTAAACCACAATGGCATGAAACTAGAAACCAATAGTAGTAGGACAAGGAGAAAATTCCCAAATATGTGGAAATTAAACAACACACTCTGAACAACCAATGGGTCAAAGAAGAAACACAAAGGAAATTACAAAATATCTTGAGAAAAATGACAATAAAAACACAACATAACAAAAGTTATGAGAGTAACAAAAGCAGTACTAAGGAAGAAGTTTATAGCACAGAACATGTACATTAAGAAATAACAAAGATCTCAAATCAACAACCTAACTTTACACTTCAAGAAATTAGAAAAACAAAAGCAAACTAAAAACAAACTTAGCAGGGGGAAGAATATCATAAGCAGAAAGTGAAGAACAGCCAGCATGTGCAGAGATCACACGGAGAGAGAGGAAGCAAGAAGGCAAAGGGGGGTGGCGCCAGGCTCTAGTTAACAACCAGCTCCCACAGGAACTAATAGAGCAAGAACTCATTATTGCAAAAATGACACCAAGCCATTCGTGACGGATCTGCCCCCATCACCCAAACACTTTTCACTAGGCCCCGCCTCTCAACACTGCCACATTGAGGGTTAAATTTCAACATATTTGACGGGAACAAACAAACCATATCCAAACCATAGCAGTGCAGCTGCTATGGAAAACAGTATGGAGATTCCTCAAACAATTAAAAATGGAATTAACATACAATCCTTGAAACTTGAGGATAGTACACTAAGTGAAACAAGCCAGTCACAAAAAGAAAAATGCTAAATGTTAGTTTCATTTCTTTTGTCTTTATTTTTGTGGATTGTTTTTAAATTTTTTATATAATATTGATTTATAATTATTATGGAAAATGTTTACATGGTTCTAAAATCAAATCTAAAACAAAGGAATCTAAATCAACAACAAAGGAAGGTACATTCCGATTAGTCTAACTTCCATCTGTTGTTTCCAATACCCTGTTCCCTCCCTCATCCTAGAAATAACAATTTATATATAGATATATATATAATATGGGATGATTATTACTATTTTAGAAAGAGTATACTCCACAATAATTAAGACCATAGGCTTTATAGTTATGAATTCCTTCATTTAGCAAGTATTTAGTTCACACCTATTATGTGCCAGACTTGTGTTAGACCCTGGAGATATAGTAATGGTCTATGTCATCATAAAACTTCTTTTTTAAAAATTGTGGACAAAAACATATAAATTTTACCGTCTTAACCATTTCTAGGCACACAGTTCAGTAGTGCTCACTGTAAGTACCTTGTGTGCATCAGAGTTTTAGAAATTTTCATCTGGTAAAACTAAAACTCTAGACCCACTGAAGAAAAACTCTCCTTTCTCCCTTTTCCCAGACCCTGGCAACCATTACTTTACTTTGTTTTTAAAAGTTTGACTACTTTCAATACCTCATATAAAAGGAATCCTGTAGCATTTTTCTTTTTGTGACTAGCTTATTTCACTTAGTGAACTGTCCTCAAGGTTCGTCCATGACCGGATTTTCCTCTTTTTGAAGGTGGAATAATATTCTGTTGTACCTATGCACCACGTTTTGTTTATCCATCCATCCAACCATCCATTGGTGGACATTTAGGCGGCTTCTACCTCTTGACTTTTGTGAACAGTGCCGCTATGAATGTGAGTGTGCAGTTAGCTCTTCAAGGTCTGTGTTCCGTTCTTTTGGATATATACCCAGAATTAAGATTGCAGGATTGTATGTTAATTCCATTTTTAATTGTTTGAGGAATCTCCATACTGTTTGCCATAGCAGCTGCACTGCTATGGTTTGGATATAGTTTGTTTGTTCCTATCAAATATCATGTTGAAATTTAACCCTCAATGTGGCAGTGTTGAGAGGTGGGTCCTAGTGAAAAGTGTTTGGGTGATGGGGGCAGATCCTTCATGAATGGCTTGGTGTCATTTTTGCGATAATGAGTTCTTGCTCTGTTAGTTCCTGTGGGAGCTAGTTGTTAACTAGAACCTGCACCACGCCCCCCTTGCCCTCTTGCTTCCTCTCTCACCATGTGATCTCTGCACATGCTGACTGCTCTTCACCTTCTGCTATGAGTAGATGCAGCCTGAGGCCCTCACCAGATGCAGATGCCCAGCTTTGCACTTTCCAGCCATCCAGAATTGTGAATCGAATAAACCTTTTCTCTTTATAAATTACCCAACCTCAACCTCAGGTATTCCTTCATAGCCACAAAAAATGGACTAAAACATTCACCATTTTTATTCCCAGCAGCAATGCAGGTTTCCAATTTCTCCATATCCTCAGCAAAACTTTTTTTTTTTTTAGTTTTTTTTTTTATTTTTATTTTGTATAGTGATCATCCTAATGGGCATGAGATGATATCCCACTGTGGTTTTGATTTGCATTTCCCTGGTGATTAATGATGATGTTGCACATCTTTTCATACGTTTGTGGGCAATTTGTGTATCTTATTTGGAGAAATGTCTATTAAAGTCTTTTATCTAGTTTTTAATCAGCATGTTTGTTTTTTTGTTGTTGTTGAGTTGTAGGAGTTCTTTATAAATTCTGGATATTAACGTGTTATCAGATAAATGACTGGCAAATGTGTTCTTTCATTCTGTGGGTTGCCTTTTCACCATGTTGACTGTTTCCTTTGTCACACAGAAGTTTTTAAGTTTGACATAGTCCCATTTGTCTATTTTCTGTTTTGGTGTGACAGTCAAGAAATCAACGCCAATTCCAATGCCATAAAGCTTTTTCCCCTTTCCTTTCAGGGTTTTACAGTTTGGGATCTTACATTTAGGATTTTGTCCATTTTGAGGTAACTTTTGTATATGGTATAAGGTAAGAGCCCAAATTCATTCTTTTGCATGTGGATATCCTGTTTCCCCAACAACATTTGTTGAGGAGATTATCTTTCCTCACTGTGTAGCCTTGTCAAAGATTATTTGACAATATATGTGAGGGTTTATTTCTGGACTCTATTCTGTCTTTATGCCAGTATCATACTGTTTTGATCACTATAGCTTTGCAATATGTTTTGAAATCAGAATGTGTAAGGCCTCCAGTTTTTTTTTTCCCTACAAGATTGCTTTGGCTATTTGGGGTCCTTTGAGATTTTGAGGATGGACCTGTAAGTAGAATCAGATGTCACTCCTTTGATCATGTCACATTTTATAGCAAAAGAGGGATCATCAAGGGTGGGTCTGACCTATTCAGATGAGCCCTTTGAAGCCTGGAGTTTGATGCACTCTGCTGGTCTGGAAGAAAGCAAGCCCAGTCAGCTCTTCATATCCACGGTTCCACATGCATGGATTAAACCAACTACTTACCAAAAATACAGTATTTGTGGAATGCAGAACCCGCAGATCTGGAGAGTGGATGCTGCCTCTTCCTACCCACGGGTTCTGCAGGGCCGACTGCAGGTCAGGAGAACCTGCTGATTTTGCTATCTGCACAGGTCCCAGGAACCCAGGACCAATCCCCCACAGATACCAACCAGGAAAGGACGCATCTATGTTGTGATCTGCTGAAGAAGCTGGGAAACCTCTAGGAGGAGACAGGGACTCCTGGCTGATGGCCAAGAAGAAATTGAATGCTGCCAAATACTGAATGAGTTTGGAAGAGGATTCCAAGCTGCAGATGAGAATGTAGCTGACTGACACCTCGATTTCAGCCTCCTGAGACCATGAGCAGAGAATCCGCCAGGCAGTGCTGGCTTCTGACCTACAGAACTGTGAGAAAAAGGCAGGCATTATTTTCAGCCACTGAGTTTGTGGTAGTTTTGAAACCTGACCAATTGTCCCATAAAACTGATGTTTATCATTTCTTTTGAATAAACATAGAAATTGACCCTCTCAGTCTTAAAACTTGAGAAAGTTACATTTGTCTTATCTGAGTTCCTTTCTCAGGAAACCGACCATCAGGACTCCCAGGTAGTATCAAGGAGCTGAAACTTACAAGCTCACAGCCTCTGGAGGATGAGTGGCCAGGCCCTCAACCCTCATGATTGCCTGAGCACCACCTGCTGCCTGTTGACCAACTCCTCTTCCTCATTCTTCCCTAATTACTGTTTTCCTGCATGTAGTTACATTTCTTCCCTTCTATATAAACTCCCAATTTTAGATAGTCAGAGAGACGGACTTGAGACTGAATTCCCATCTCTTCAGCTGCAGCACCCGATTAAAGCTTTCTTCCCTGCCAATACTGGTTGTCTTGATGACTGGCTTTCTGTGCTGTGAGCAGCAGGACCTAGACCAAACCCCTGGTGTTTGGGTAATCATTTGTTATGCAACAATAGAAAACTAATATAGGGGATGCAAACACAATATGCATTTGTTTATCTGTATACACTCCTCTGTCCTCTGCTAGATTTTTTTTTTTTTTTTTGGCAGGATCTTGCTGTCACCCAGACTGGATGGAGTTCAGTGGTGTGATCCTGGTTCATTGCAGCCTCCACATCCTGTATTCAATTGATACTCCTATCCCAGCCTCCCAAGTAGCTGGGACTACAGGCATGCACCACTGGGCCAGGCTAATTTTTGTATTTTTTGTAGAGATGGAGTTTTGCCGTGTTGCCCAGGTTGATCTCAAACTCCTGGCCTCAAGCAATCCACCCGCCTTGGCCTCCTGATGTGCTAGGATTACAGGCGTGAGCCACCATGCTCAGCCTCCATTTCTAATAAGAGTAAATCTGCTTTGCATACTGGTGGGCAATTTGGCTTTTCACTCAATAATATAGCTTACATTTTTATATCACAACACAAAGCTACTCATTCTATTTTACATGTGTGCGGTGTTGAGTTGCATGAACCAAGATGCGTGTCATCTGTCCTCCAAAAGCAGCACTGAGGTCACTTCTGTTGTGTTATCTGTGCATGCCATGCTGCAGTGAAGCTCCTGGAAGTCATGCCTGTATGCCCTGTGTGTTTACACAGGAGGGACTCTAAAAAGGGAGCTCTGACTGTGTTTGTCTGTTGGAAGCTGAACTTCCAGGTTCCACTCCGTTCCTGGCATCCAGGTTCTTACAGGCTGCTCTGATGCTACTCACTGCTCTGTGTCTTGTGGCTCAGTGAAGAAGAAAGGGGACTCTTGAGCCAACAAGAAGAGTTAGGGCTGGTTGGGTAGACAGCGGGTGTGGGTCTTGGGTCCTTCCTCCTTCCAGAGGGAGGTGGCTGCTGTAGAGACAGCCTCAGCCCCTTTCCCTGAGCAGGGTGACTAAGTTGGTAAAGGCCTCTACAATGTTTCTAGCATGTCTTGGTGTTGAACTGCTCCACTGAGAACATTACATGGGCTCAAGGCTTCAATTTCCTCCATCCAGAAAAGATGGACGTCTCTAATACCAATTAAGTATGCCTAGGATGAGCGGGGCCTCTCTTAGGACCAGGGGGCATCTGCCCAAGTGCATTGTGAAATTGAAGCATTAATACCCAGTGAGGGCCAAGTCAGGACAGTCACAGTAGAGCCAACAATGGTGACCTCTCCTTCCCAAACCTCTAGGGAGTCCGCTGGGTTTACGCAGGCCTGCAAATCTGCACCGTCCTTGGCGATGGCCCTGGAGGCAGCCTGTGTGTCAGGGAAATGTCAGAAGCATGGCGGCCACCTGCTGTAAGAATAGAAGGCCCTGGGAACCTAGGCGGCCGGTGCATCTGACAGAAGCCTGGAACCCGAGACCTGGCAGAGACTCACCAGGGACCTCCCACCGTTAAACACTGTGCTAGGTTGGCCAGGCACGGTGGCTCACGCCTGTAATCCCAGCACTTTGGGAGGCCGAGGCAGGCAGATCACGAGGTCAGGAGATCGAGACCATCCTGGCTAACACAGTGGAACCCCGTCTCTACTAAAAATACAAAAAATTAGCCAGGCGTGGTGGCGGGTGCCTGTAGTCCCAGCTGCTCGGGAGGCTGAGGCAGGAGAATGGCGTGAATCCGGGAGGCAGAGCTTGCAGTGAGCTGAAATCGCGCCACTGCACTCCAGCCTGGGTGACAGAGTGAGACTCTGCCTCAGAAAAAAAAAAAAAAAAAAAAAAAAAAAAAACAAACCGCTGTGCTAGGTTTTGCCTGTTTGGTTGTTTAGCAGGAAAAAAAAGAAAAACAAACAGAAATACATACATACATACATACATACATACATACATACATACATACATACATAATGTCCAAGGATATCCGTTGGTGAGCAGGACAAAACCCTGCCCCTACAGTTTCATTCTGTGACACACAGGACCTCAGTGGGTGAAAGGTACTTTGGTGTCAAACTAGAGGGGAGAGGGATTGGGAGGATGAGAAGTGGGAGTTTTATTCAGAGAAGTTAAGGAAGACCTCACGAAAAAGCCACGCGAGGAACACACAAGGAAGGAGGTGAGAGTCAGATGCAGGGGTCTTGGGTGAGAACATTCCAGGCCAAGGGAGCAGCAGGTGCCAGGCCCCGAGGCGGGGCAGGCCTGGAGCACTGGGCAACCCACATGCCACATGGAGGAAGTGGCTCTCACCACCATCCTGGCCTCTGGAGTCCTTCACATGAGTCACAGAAGAAAAACTTGTTATATCTGAGTATTATTTTTGTGATCTTACTCTTTGACTTAAAACATTTTTTATTGCAGACATTTTATTTATTTATTTATTTATTTATTTTTTATTTATCGAGATGGAGTCTCGCTCTGTCGTCCAGGCTGGAGTACAGTGGCGCAATCTCGGCTCACTGCAACCTCTGCCCCCTGGGTTCAAGCAATTGTCCTGTCTCAGCCTCCCTAGTAGCTGGGATTACAGGTGTGCACTATCACGCCTGGCTAATTTTTGTATTTTTATTAGAGTCGGGGTTTCGCCATGTTGGCCAGGCTGGTCTCGAACTCCTGACCTCAAGTCATCTGCCCACCTTGGCCTCCCAAAGTGCTGGGATTACAGGCATGAGTCACCGCGCCCAGCCAACATTTTACACAAAAGTGGCTGGATGTGGTGGCTCATCCCTCTAATCCCAGCATGTATTGTTCAAGCTCAGTAGTTCACCACCAGCCTGGGCAATGTGGCAAATCCCTGTCTCTACAAAAAAAAAAAAAAAAAAAAAAAAGAAAGAAAAAAAATAGCCGGGGGTGGTGGCATGCACCTGTGGTCCCAGCGACTTAAGAGGGTGAGGTTGGAGGATCACTTGAGCTTGGGAGGCAGAGGTTGCAGTGAGCCAAGATTGAGCCACTGGACTCCAGCCTGGGTGACAGAGCAAGACGACCCTGTCTCAAATAAAATAAAATAAATAGTAAAGTAAACATACACAAAAGTAGAGGAGAGATAATATAAAGCCCTACACATCCACCCCCTGCCATCAGTAATTACCAGCATTGGGGCTGCACCATCTTCCACCACACGTGGCTTCAGAACAATGCCCAAATCCAAGCATGACAAGGAAGTCCCTAACCAAAACTGCCAAGAAAGGCCTGGAATTGAAACAACACCTGATAGAAGAGCTTCGGAAACGTGTGGACACTGATAAGTACCTTTCCATCTCTCTGTGGCCAACACGTGGAACAGCAAGCTGAAGGACATCCGGAATGCCTGGAAGCACAGCCGGATGTTCTTTGGCAAAAACAAGGTGATGATGGTGGCCTTGGGTCGGAGCCCATTGGGTGAGTGCAAAGACAACCTGCACCAGGTCAGCAAAAGGTTGAGGGGTGAAGCGGATCTCCTGTTCACCAACCACTGGAAGGAGGAGGTGAATGAGTGGTTCACAGAATACACGGAAATGGACTTCAGCTGAGCTGTAACAAAGCAGCTTTCACCGTGAGCCTGGACCCAGGGCCCCTGGAGCAGTTCCCCACCCCATGAAGCCACAGCTGAGGCAGCCGGGCCTGCCCACCACCTTTGAGAGAGGTGTGGTGACCCTGCTGTCCGACAATGAGGTGTGCAAGGAGGGCCACCTGCTGGCCCCGGAGCAGGCTGGTGTTCTGATGCTTTCTGGGTATGAGATGGCTGAATTTAAGGTGACCATCAAATACATGTGGGATGTACAGTCAGGAAGGGTCCAGCAGATGGGAGACGACCTGCCAGAGAGCTCATCCAACTCAGCAGAAGAATCAAGACTCAGACGATGATGACTGAAAGGGACTCAGGACTGAAGGTCTCCTGGAACCTTCTGGATCTCACTGGACCACACAGGACTACTGCCACTCCTCTAGAGAGAGCAGCTTATTTGGCTTTTGACAGGGAGTGATGGGCACTGACTGTTCCTGTAAAGAATAAAGCTTTGCAGGATGTCAAATAAAATTTTTTTAAAAAATTACCAGCGTTGTTCAGTTTTGCTTCATGTATTGTTCCCCTCCCAGCTTTTGTCTATTGCTTTGCTAGAGTATTTAAAGGAAATCCCAGAAGACAACACATCATTTTATCCGTATTTGATTCTTTGTATTCCACCAACATAAGGACATTTTATTTATTCATTCATTTATTTATTTATTTTGTTGAGACGGGGTCTCACTGTGACCCAGGCTGGAGTGCAATGGCCATCATGGCTCACTGCAGCCTCCTGAGTAGCTGGGACTACGGGCAGCACCACCATGCCTGGCTAGGTTTTAAAATTTTCTGTAGAGCTGAGGTCATGCTATGTTGCCCAGGCTGGTCTCAAACGCCCGGGCTCACATGATTCTCCCGCCTCAGCCTCCCAAAGTGCTGGGATTACAGGCATGAGCCACCACACTCAGCCAATAAATTTTTAAAAAATTATCATTATCACGCCCAACAAAATTAACAGTACTCCCTTAATAACTAACCCCTTGTCAGTTTTTCAATTTCTCTTGTCTCAAAATGTCTTTTGCCAGGTGGCTTGTTCGAGTCAGGATTCAGACTTTGCGGTTGCTTCTGCTGTGTCTCCAAGTCCCTTTTGACCTGGACTCCCTCTTTGGTGACTTCCTGTCTGGTGCTGCAGTTCCTGCGTGCTGAGCACCTCTCCTTGCCCACTCAATCAGCGCCTGAGACAACACTCTGAAAACTGCATACACATACAGAGTCTAGGGGTTGGGGGGTGACCACGTCTTCTTTCTGCCTTGAAGATTAGACACCTGTGTGCTGGAGCAACCAGGATGACCACAAAGCAAGACACACAGGCACCCACACCAGGGCAGGTGACGGCGGCTCAATGCATGGATTCACAGCCGGGCTGCACCCCAGTGCTTGGGCCCGCGGCTCTCCAGGGGCGCCACTTTCTGCCCCTGCCCCGCCAACTCCCACCAAACAACCAAAGGAGCACAACCAAAACAGAACACGGCACTTCCAAACAGCAGATCCTAATCCAGGGCAGCCTAGCCTTGCCTCCCGAGGTACAAGAGCAGGGATTCATGAGACCCCGATGATGTGGCGGCCAGCGATGGCCATCCTTTCTAGGACTCACGGGTCTGAGGCAGGAGAATAGGGTATGGAGGCAGATCACCTAAGGCCGTTTCACGCGGACTTCCTAGAACTATATTGAAAGGAAAACTCTTAACTTTCCACGCCTAAGTAACAAAAGGACCAGAGGTTACTCTTTGCAAACCCCCCACCTTTTCTGTGGGGCCGAAGGGAAACTGGCTGTCCACAACCAATCAGACTGATTGCCACCAGTCTTCCTTTGCATAGAAGTCCAACTTTGTAACTTTCACTTTAGCCTCTTAACGTTAGCTTTTTGCAACCAATCAGATGTTTGCGCAGGAGTGTGACCTTTGTAACTTCACTTCAGCCTCTGGTTGGCTGCTTTCCGCAACCAATCAGACCGATTATGGGCCACCACTTTATTTACATGAAGGGAGCACATGAGTGGCCAATGGGAAACCTCTAGCGGGTATTTGGACCGAGAAGATTGTATAACGCAGCCCTTGAGCCTGCTCAGGCCGCTCCCACACTGTGGAGACTACTTTCGTTTTCAATAAATCCCTGCTTTAGTTGCTTCCTTTTTTCCTTGCTTTGCAGCACGTTTTGTCCAATTCTTTGTTCAAAACGCCAACCTGGACAACTTGCAGTTAGGACCCTCTACCGGTAACACGACCCCTTCCCTTGTATGAGTTCATTTGATGTTCACCACCTACAAGGCCCCAGGGCTAATATGAGCTCTACTTTTCAGATGAGGAAACTGAGGCACAGAGCGGTAAAGTACCATGAGTCTGGTGGACAGACCCTTAAACTCAGGCCGCCCTGCGGCGGTGCCCTTTCTTTACGCCAGAGCGGGGGTGCCGGGACATATATGAGCACCCTGGGGAAGCCCCCAGGAGAAACAGGAAGGACTGGCTTTAGGAGGAGAGGGACGGCAGAGGGTAGGGGGTAGAGGCAAAAAGCCAGGGGCGCAGCGGCGGAGCTCTGGCGCTGGAGCCAAGGTATAGGGGCAGCGGGGCTGCGGCGGGGACCAGCCTCCCCAGCCGGGCCTCCTCCCCACCTGCGCTTCTGTGCATCGGAAGTGGGCTCGCTCCGTTGCCCCCTTCCGCCTCCAACCCCTGAAAAGCAAGACGAGGCTGAGCTCGGAGCACCGAACTGCCCCCAGAGCGCCCGGCCGCCCCCACAGCTCGCGCCGAGCGCGGACTCCCCAAGCCAGACGTTTCCTCCTGAGGTCCCCCCGCAGAGGGGTCGCCATTCCTGCTTTTGCCTGCGCCGCGAAAGCGGGCTGTTTTCGCCTCCGTCCGCCCCGCGTGGACTCGCCAGCAGCGCCGCCTCCCACCGCGACCGCAGCCTCGGCCCAGCCGCCACAGCAGTTGTCTCGATCCGGATTTCTCCTAGGCCGGCGCCTCTTGGTGCTGCCTGGGAACCCCGCAGACGCGCGCCTCAGGACCCCTGAAACACGCGCCGGCGGGGACCCCCAGTTCTGCACCCGCAGTCACGAGGCCCCGCCAGGGTGGCGACGGTTCGCTTCTGCCCGGGCCTCCCCTGTGGCTCCGAGCGCGGAGGGGAAGGTGCGGGCACCCCACTCCCTGGGGGGACTGGACTCCGTACACACGCGCCGGGCCTCGCGCCCCGAAAGGAGGCTCTGGGGCCGCCCCGCTCCTCTGGGCATTTTCTGGCACCGAAAGTGCGGAGCGAGCCCCCCAGCCGAGCACGGCTGACTAGGTTTCCCTGGCACAGGCTGCAGGCTGCTTGCCCGGCGCTGACTCCTTTCCCAGCGACTCCCGAGGGGCGGCTGTCCTCTTGCTCGGAGCCGGCGTCCCCAGCAGCGCGCCCAGGCCCTCCGTGTGGCCCGCTCATTCCCGCGGCCCGCCGGGCCGACTCCGCCGACGGCCCATGCAGACGGCCTCAGGCCCGGCGATCTGGTATTCACAGCGCAAAATGGCATTTGAATATTCATTGTGCGCATGCAGCATTTTCCAGAGAACACACAAAGATCTCTCACCACAATTATCTTGCTCCAGCTTTAAAATATTAGCTGTCACTTCTTTCACGAATCTTGTGAGAAAGTAAAGTCTTTTTTTCTTAAATTCTTTTTCCCTTGAACGCAATTACCACCTCATTCATGGCTCTTTGTGGCCACCTAATCTTGGGATTATGCCAGTGACATGACCACAAAGCAGCATGACTGACGTACCTGACAGCTCTGGCTGGTGACACGGCGGCCACAGTGAGAGGCAGCCTTTGTGGAATGAGTTCCACTGCCGCCCGCCTCGCAGGGAAGCCGGGCAGGAAGGTGTAGCCGAGAGCCGCCAGGGGACCATCCCCACCCGCGGGGACGCTTGCTTTTAACTCGAGGGCCCTGCGCACTGAGGAGCAAGGATGCCGGGGCACACCCACCTGATTCCCCCATTGTTGCCCAACATAAAACGTCTGCACCCCCATTTGGTTTGTGACTATACAGTAAAGCAACCAGGTCTGGGGACTTGGGTCCCACGGTGGAGGCCCTAGTCAGCCTTCCCCAGGCCCTCCCCACGACCGCCCTAGCCCGGTACCAATGCAAGCCCTGTGCAGCCACGCCAAGTGCAGGCACAACACAACACGTGCTGGCAGCAGATCCACTCAATTGTGCATGCACCCGGCCCCATGAAGACCCCACACTTTTGATTCCAGCTTAGCACATGGGAACTTACCTGGGATCAGCCATTCACAGGGCTTCACTAGCTTCTGGTGTGTTGGGTTGGTTATATTCTCTGACTTTCGTTCTCTCCTCCACCTTCTCTTTTCAGACCACAGAAATAATACATATTATTCAAAAATCAAACGTGATAGACATAACGTGAACAATAAACATCCTGCCATCCGCCTTCCCAAAGGCACCCTGCTTTCTCTGCCTGCAGATGTTCCCTGAAGTGTTCTTGGTGCACCTGCATCCAACATGAGTAATTTTCCTTACAGAAAAGGATCACACTATACATACTGTTTACACCTTTTTAATTTTATTCTCTTGGTCATCTTTGCATGATTAACATATTTTAGTAACTGATCTTTAATCAGTTTTAGGGGTAGCCTCAGGCTTAGGCTCTGGAAGGGAACTGGCACATCACCCTCCTTAGCACCCAAGAAAACAATGGCCTTCTTCATGGTCTAAATAACTGGAAACATTTAAAACCAATTAGGTGGCTTAAGATTGCTATTAAACTAACAGAAAGAGGGAAAAACATTTGTCGTGCAATACAGTAACCAGCAGCCACACCACCGAAAGTATCCAAGCAAGAGCGGGTGCTGGACAGCAGCCCTGAGCTAAAACCTGAGAGATGACAGGGTGCTGGCAGCCCTCGCTCACTCTTGGCGCCTCCTCGGCCTCAGCGTCCACTCTGGCTGCGCTTGAGGAGCCCTTCAGCCCGCCGCTGCACTGTTGGAGCCCCTCTCTGGGCTGGCCGAGGCCGGAGCCGGCTCCCTGTGCTTGTGTGGAGGTGTGGAGGGAGACGCGTGGGCGATACTGGGGCTGTGCGCTGCGCTCGTGGGCCAGCACGCGTTCCGGGTGGGCGTGGGCTTGGCGGCCCTGCACTCGGAGCGGCCGGCCTCGGGCAGTGAGGGGCTTAGCACCCAGGCCAGCAGCTGCAGAGGGTGCACCGGGTCCCCCAGCAGTGCTGGCCCGCCGGTGCTGCACTCGAATTCTCACGGGGCCTTAGCTGCCTCCTCGCAGGGCAGGACTCGGGACCTGCAGCCCCCCATGCTCGAGCCTCCCCCCTGCCGTGGGCTCCTGCGCAGCCGAGCCTCCCGGACGAGCGCCGCTCCCTGCTCCGTGGCGCCCTATCCCATCAACCGCCCAAGGGCTGAGGAGTGCGGGGCGCAGGGCGCGGGACTGGCGGGCAGTTCCACCTGCGCCCCACTGTGGGATCCACTAGGTGAAGCCAGCTGGGCTCCTGAGTCTAGTGGGGACTTGGAGAACCTTTATGTCTAGCTAAGGGATTGTAAATACACCAGTCAGCACTCTGTGTCTAGCTTAAAGTTTGTAAACACACCAATCAGCACCCTGTGTCTAGCTCAAGGTTTGTAAATGCACCAATCAGTGCTCTGTGGGGACTTGGAGAACTTTTGTGTCTAGCTCAGGGATTGTAAACACACCAATCAGCACCCTGTCAAAACGGACCAATCAGCTTTCTGTAAAACAGACCAATCAGCTCTCTGTAAAATGGACCAATCAGCAGGATGTGGGTGGGGCCAGATAAGGGAATAAAAGCAGGCTGCCCGAGTCAGTAGTGGCAGCCCACTGAGGTCCCCTTCCAGGGTGTGGAAGCTTTGTTCTTTTGCTGTTTGTAATAAATCTTGGCTGCTGCTCACTGTTTGGGTCTGCACTGCTTTTATGAGCTGTAACACTCACCGTGAAGGTCTGCAGCTTCACTCCTGAGCCAGCGAGACCACAAACCCACCAGAAGAAAAAAACTCCGAACACATCCGAACAAACCCCGGACACACTGCCTTTAAGAACTGTAACACTCACCACGGGAGTCCACGGCTTCATTCTTGAAGTCAGTGAGACCAAGAGCCCACCAATTCCGGACACAAAACGACCACAGAAATCTGTCCAGGTCTTTTTCTCACAGAGGACCTCCAAGGTGACCAGCCCAGAAGATAACTACATTGTTTTGCTTGCTCAGCTTCCGTTTTCTCACGGTGTACACCAAATTAGAACACACTTCGTGTGCAAAGCTGACATTCCTGTGTGAAGCTACCTGGCTATTCTGACAACTCATATGCTGTGCTGGTGAGAGAAAATTTCAGTTTTGTTTCTAATTGGAAATGAGTAACTGAAATTGTTCTCCCATATTTTTTTCTGGGACTCTGTTTTATTTCTACATGTGATTCACCTGGAAGATATTTTGGGCTAACCCATCTCTTTCTCACTGAAGTGTTGCCACTTACCATCTAAATTTCTGTGTGTATTTGGGTCTTTCTGGATTCCATTCTGTTTCACTGATCTTTTCATAAGCCAGTCTCACCCAGGCTGCTTTAATTACTGTTAGGACTGCATGTGGCTCCACGAGTTTCCACTGAGAGAAGACCTGGGATTCCAGCAGGCAGAGGCTGACATACAAGCTTAGTTGTTGCCATGTTTCTTCGTAATAGCTTCCCTCCTGAATTAAACCCAACCACAAAACGTGGCAGAAATGGACCACCAGCAGAAGATGACACATGTGAATCCTGAGGACTGGTCTCTTCCAGAGAGAAAGCCTAGGACGAGGTGGAGGCTCCCACCATTTCTTCGAGGGAGCACACATTTCCTCACCTTGATGTCAGCACCAGGAGGCTGACAGTGACATCCTGTGTGGTGGGCCCGGGAGAACCAGATGCCATCACTCTCCCTCTGCAGCACATCCTGGCTGTCCTGTTGGCACCACCATGCCAACCTAAGAACCAGTTTTCTACTTGAATCAACACCTTGTAGCTATCATTATTGGAATGGCATTAAATGTAGAAATTGGTTTAGGGAGAATTGACAGCTTTAGTTATTGTTATCTTCTACTTTAACACAAAATATGCGTTCCTCATAAGCTTCACAGTCCCAAGGTAAAATCGGGCTAATGGGTAAAGGAGAGTTTGGGGCTCACTACTCAAAATCTATGCAACTTTGTAACTAACACCAAGAAGAATTGGGCCAAAGCGGTAGCTCATGCTTGTAATCCCAGCACTTTGGGAGGCCAAGTTGGAAGGATTCATTGAGCCCAGGAGTTTGAGACCAGCCTGGGCAACATAGCAAGACCCCTTCTCTACAAAAAATACAAAAATCAGCCAGGTGTGGTAGTGCACCCCTGTAGTCCCAGCTACTAGAGAGGCTGAGGAGGATGGATCACTTCAGCCCAGGAGTTCAAGGTCACAGTGAGCTATGATCGTGCTACTGCACTCCGGCCTGGGTCACAGAGTGAGATCCTGTCTCTCAAAAAAAAAAAAAATAAGGAAAAATTGCCATACCAACCCTCATAAAATTCTGGCACAGTTAAAAAGACATGTAAAATCTTAATATAGATATATGCTAAATGCAGGGTGTTTTTGTTTTTGTTTTGTTTTGTTTTTTAAGATGGAGTCTCACTCTGTCTCCCAGGCTGGAGTGCAGTGGCACGATGTTGGCTCACTGCAAGCTCCACCTCCCAGGTTCACGCCATTCTCCCACCTGAGCCTCCCAAGTAGCTGGGGACTATAGGCGCCCAGCACCACACCCGGCTAATTTTGTTTTTGTATTTTTAGTAGAGACGGCATTTCACCGTGCTAGCCAGGATGGTCTCAATCTCCTGACCTCGTGATCCAACCCCCTCGGCCTTCCAAAGTTCTGGGATTACAGGTGTGAGTCCGGCCAGCTAAATGTAGGATTTAAACAAAGGACAGGCCACGCTCAGACCCAGTGACGGCAGGGATGGGCAGCTGGGCCACTATCCGTGTCTGGGAGAGTTCCTAACAAGCTACTGAAACAGCGTGGGAGGCTGGGCACCTGCAGAGCTCCCCCTCCACTGGGGGAAATGCTGCCTGGACTGGTGCGGCCCCAGCCCCATCCCCACTCATGGGTGCTGTTCATGCTACGGAAGAAGGCCCCCAGTGCAGTCCGGTAAGTTACTCCTACTCAAGTCTCCGATGTGCTCCAGAGGAACCTGACAGTTTCCTTTGTATACACTTCACACATTTCTAAACTTATTTCTGCTGTTTTGTCTTCCGCTGTTTTCTGGTCGTTCATTATTTCCTTATGTATAGGAAGACTATTGATTTGTATGTATCAATTAGGCACCGTCGCATTCCTAGGTACACATCTCTTACTGCTTATCATTTCCAGGAGGAATTCTCTTGGAATTCCCTATCAACAATGAAGTCAGCTGTGAATGACATGTTGGCTTCCCTCTTTCAGATCTTTCGCAGCTCATCTCTTCCCGTCCTCCAGGGCCAGGTGGCCATCAGAGGCCCCTCCTGCCATGTGGTATGCAGCTGTGGTGAACAGTCCTGGCCTGCTCCCGACTTCAGTTTTAAGCGTCTCTTCACTCACATGGTGTGTGTTTGGCTTGAAATATAAATGCACTGCTATGTTAAACTAGTGTCCACATCCTCTTGACATTTCCATTGCCTAAAGACACAGAGGCCTCCCTGGACATTGCATCCATTTTCTCACAAGGTCTGAGCCCCACCACACGCTGGTTCTGCTCTGGGCACCAAGGCTTTGGGGGTGACCACAGCCCTGGTCCCTACTTCACGGTACTTCTGGTTTAATCAGCAGAACAGACGCTCAACAGAGAATCGTCCAGCAGTTCCTCACTAGTGGGTGGGCCATCTTCCCTGAGGACCTGGCAGGCAGGAAGGAGACATCCTCCTGCTGGGGAAGGTGTCCTGGTAGAAGACAGGAGGTGATGGGGCCCAAGTTGGGAAGAAGCTGCCCCACTCCAGGGGTATGAGGGCGGATGTGACATGAGGAGCAAGTGAGGGGAAACGAGGCTGCAGAGACACAGGACGAGGGCGAGCAGGCTCCACCAGCAGAGCACATGGAGCTCTCTAGACACTTCCATAAAGACAGGGCCAGGGTGGCTGCTGAAGACCAACTTCCAAGACTGAAAAAGTACACGTCGCACAGACAGAGGTGGCCTCTGCAAAACTGTGATATGGCAAGGCCTGGCCTCTGCACCCTCCCCAGATCTCCCAGCAGCCTTTCTGTCCACGTGGGACACATCCTGAGGACGCCCCTGGGAGTCTGCTCAGATGATGTGCGTTCCTTCCCTGCCCTGCCTCAGCGTCTCGTGCACGGCAAGGCATAAATGACCGCCTCTCCTCACACTGATTCGACAGAAGGGCGATTTCATGGGGCAACCAAAACGTAAGCAGAATCTGGCTGCACCCAGTGGGGATGGGGCTGGGGGAGTCCTTCCCCCTCTTAAGTCATACTGGGAAGAGGGCTGCCTGGCCTGGCTCTCCATGCCAACATGCTCACAGAACCTACCCGCCAGTGACATGTGCTCCTGTGCATCTTCTGGGTGGGTACAGGACACAGCAGGATGAGAACTGTCATGAACACACCAGGGAGGATTCTGGCTCCAACCGCGGCTTCACTTGCTCAACTCTACCTTCACTCAGTGCCACTCTCCAAAGCCCAAGGCCTTGGCTGTCAGCCTCCAGAGTCGGGTTCTCTTTTGAGGGGTGTTAGCATCCTCACTGCACCCCTCTCCCACCTTGACAAGCGAATCTCTTAAAGACCAGATGGGTCACGTTTACTTTCATTTCCATAATCTCCCTTACTGTTCCCCAAGTTCCGAATCCTTCTACTCCTTTACATTGGCATGTATTTAACTTACAGGATCTTTTACCAGTGCGCCTACGTTTACACCGAGGCATAAAATTAAAAATGTGGCCAGGCGCGATGGCTCACGCCTGTAATCCTAGTAATCCTAGCACGTTGGGCAGCTGAGGTGGGCGGATCATGAGGTCAGAATCCAGCCTGGCCAACATGGTGGAACCCTGTCTGTACTAAAAATACAAAAATTAGCTGGGCGTGGTGGTGGGTGCCTGTAATCCCAGCTACTCGGGAGGCTGAGGCAGGAGAATCACTTGAAACCAGAAGGCAGAGATTGCAGTGAGCTGAGATCGCACCATTGCACTCCAGCCTGGGCAACAAAAGCAAAACTCTGTCTCAAAAAAAAAAAAAAATAGTGAAAGTGAAACAAAAGATGGGAGTGTGTGTTTTATTAAAGGTTAAAAGAGTTTTTAATCACAAAACATCAACAGTTGTTGGCTTGTCTCAATCTTTTATAAGCAACTATTTACCACCAAGGTGGCTGATTTCAAAGAGCTGGTTGTATCTGCAGTGATGTTTCTCTTTAATTAAACACCCACTGTGTTAGTTATCTGATGCTATGGAACGAATTTACACAGGCGCCAAGGCTTCAAACAACAAGCATGGATTTTCCAGCATCTGGGATTGGGAATCTGGGCACAGCTTAGCTGGGTCCTCTGTTGTGGGCTCTCAGGCTGCAGGTGTGGTGTCACCCGAAACGGGGTCTCATCTGAGGCCCGACTGAGGCAGGACCTACTTCCAAGTGCCTTCACTTGGTGCCAGCAGGATCCACTTCCTTCTGGCCTGCTGGGCTGGGAGCCTCAGTTCGCAGCTAGCTGCCAGTCAATTCCAGCCTCACTTGATTCCTTGCCATGTGGCCCTCCCTGGGATGGCAGCTTGCTTTATTGAGGGTCTGGTAGCCAGGTAAGAGTTGGAATCTTTTGTGATGGGATCAGGCAGGTGAAATTTCCCTCAATGTGGAGGCCTTCTGTTGGCTGGAAACAAGGGGCTGGAGGGAAGGACTGCACAAGGCCACGTGGGGACCATGGTGGGCCCCCTTAGAAGCTGCCTAGGCATCTGCCTATTTCTTACTCTAATAATCCTATTTACAAAGGAACTATTTTTAGAATGGCATTGCTCTGAACATTTTTATAGTTATCTGTTCATTCTCCTATCCATGCTCAGGTAATACAGGAAATAGTGTAAAAACACAAAACAAGTCAACAAACTAATCCTTATTTAAAGAAAAATAAATTCGTATCAAACAATTTCCCCAAAAGTGGTCCTGTGGGATTTTTGGACCTAGAAGGAGGTGTGGAGCAAGGAGTCCTAAGTGTGTATGGCAGTGACACCAGACAGGTGAACCGACAAGAAGCTGGGCCTGTGTTTGTGGGGTTCGCAAAGTGGCATTTTGAAATTCAATAAAAGCCAACTAGCAAACCCAAAAACTTGCATAAAAGTTAAAGAGTGAGTAAAATTTATCAGATGCCAAGTGAATCTGCTCTGAGAGTTTAGGAAGCATCAATATGAAACCCATACATCCTAACCGAGTTGGGTAGCAAAAACGTGCAGTGGCCTGGAAATGCACCTTTAAGAGAACTGACAAGTGGGTTTTCATTAATGAAAAAGACATATTAAAAAATGATCTAATTCAGGAAAAGGCTGGGAAAATAGTTTTTCTCTTTAGAGCAAGGCTTTCGTCAACCTTCTATAAAATAATCTATCATGTTAAGTATCAAAATTTAAAAAATTAATACTGAATTGAAAAGGGGGAATGTTAGTTAAGAAAGAGAACAAGTTCACAGTTGTGAACTTGTGTAATTCTGCCCAGTGTAATTCTGCCCAGAAATCTGTCCCCCATAAAATCTATGTATTGCATATATAAAATCATCCCAACCTTTACTGAAAACTAAAAACAGATGCCCTCTTACACGGTCTTGTTTCTGGACTCATTAAATCAGTAATGATGCACACTCATCATCACTGAGCTCTACAGAACTTTAAGTTTTGCCTGCAGAATGTCTTACCTGCTTGACAAGAGAAGCATCCTCACTCTTGTGGACTCCAGTAATCTCAGCTGGCAGGACACATTGATTTACAATCTTAGGGCTGCTTTACAACCAAACACAAACTTTTAAAAGCAGCCATATACTAATATTACATTTTCTGTACGCTAAGAACAGTTTCTGCCATCTGTAACTGGGTACCTAAGTCAGAAAAAAACAAGGTTTGAATCCCAGCTCAAACTTTTTAACTGTGTGACTTTTGGTTAATTACTTAACCCCTCTGAGCCTTACTTTCTTTACGTAATACAAGTATCAACTCCATGGGCCATACCAGCCCCAGCCCCAGCCCCCTATAAATCCGTCTGTCTGTCCACAGATGCCACTGTGGACGGACCACCATAGGAGGAAGGGCTCTGTCCCTCCTCTCCACTCTCAGGTCCCTCCGTCATAAAAAGCCCAATCTCTATAAAGCTGTTGAGAATTAAGTACCACAGCAGACACAGAGCACTTAGGACACCGCTTGGCACATGGGAGGTACCAGTAAACATTTAGCTGTTACTACTAGGAAGTATGTCCTGGAGACGCATAAGAAACCGGTAAGAAATCTTGGGGCAAGAGTGGAGGCTCTCCTAAGACAGTGTTTACTGGGAGTGGGGAGAAACAGCTGGGCATCTGCAGCAGGGCGGTGAGCAGACAGCCTTCCAAAACAGGAGAGTGTGGCAAACGCACCGGAGCCACTGGGCGGTCAGTCACACTCCTGCAGGCCACGCGAGGCTGTCCGGGTGCTGGGGATGCGGGTGAGCAGGGCCAGCCAGGTGTCCTGTCATGCAGAGCTCACATTCCACGGGAGGGAGAGCAAACAAGCAGGAACACATGCGGCAGACATGAGGGCCATATCACAATGGACAGTGTGATGTGCGGAGGAGGAGTTTGCCTTGGATGGGGCAGGAGAGCCTCTCTAAGAAGCAGAGCTGGCCACACCAAAGCCTGGGGAAGAACCTGAGACATGAGCACCGAGCTGGCTGGAAGAGCAGGGAGGCCACTCAGCTGGAGCTCAGGGAGGACGGCAGTGGCCGGGGTTGAGGACCTCTAGACCACAGGGAGGAATCTGGGCTTTATGCCACGTGCAAGCGACTGTCCTCACATATGAGCAGTTACCTCTTTCAAAAGGTAACTCTGTCTTCTGTGGAGAGAAAGCTCTGGAGCTAAGAGCAAGCAGGTGGTCTGGTGAGGAGACGACTGCAGTGGCCTTAGAGATGACTGAGCTCAGGCTGCTGTGGCCACCGCTGAGACGGACGGATGAGGATTTGTTAGAGGCACAATTTAGAGGGAACAACATGAGGGCTTGAGGGTGAGGAAATGGGTTGGTAGAATGAGGAAAGCAAGGCGAAGCCCGTGAGGCAGGGAGGGAAATCAGAAGTTTGAGCCGCCTACATGATAATCAAATGGAAACATCTGGCTGGACCCAAGAGTCAGGAGCTCAGAAGAGAGGTGGAGACTCAATACATCAATGTGGGAAGGGATGGGAAAGAACAGAGACAGATTTCCGATAGAAGCCTTGCTAAAGCCAAGCTTCTGCTGCAACCTTCCCTGGGCACTGCTCTTTCACGTTGGCAGCTGTCTTGAAGGCAGCGTAGTCTGCATTTGCTTTAGGAGTGGCGACCGGTTGCACAAATCATTTGTTCATATCCACGTGCTCTTAAAATGCCAAGCATCATGTTTCCAAATCATGGAGGCACAGGACAAACTGCAGATCCCTAAAAGTCACTTTTAAAGAAGAGTCACCTTTGGCCAGGCATGGTGGCTCATGCCTGTAATCCCAGCACTTTGTGAGGCAAAGGCGGGCAGATCACCTGAGGTCAGGAGTTGAAGGCCAGCCTGGCCAACATGGCGAAATCCCGTCTCTACTAAAAACACAAAAATTAGCTGGCATAGCAGTGGGCGCCTGTAATCCCAGCTACTCGGGAGGCTCAGACAGGAGAATCATTTGAATCCCAGGTGGAGGTCATAGTGAGCCGAGATTGTGCCACTGCACTCCAGCCTGGGTGACAGAGGTAGACTCTGTCTCAAAATAAATAAATAAATAAGAGTCACCTTTACAGTTTTATCATTTAACCCTGTTTTTTGACCTTCTGAGTATAAACTGAAAGGCAAAGTAACAGTTGCACAGAATTGAAACTATTATGACTGCTAGAAACTGACCTTGGCAAACACTTAAGACCATGGCAAACAGTCTTAAAAAGCAATAGCATGGTTTTAAAATGTTTAAGGCTGACTGTTGAAAAATAAGTACAAATTCAAGCATGAGGTCATCTCATATTTGATGCACAAAATCTAGAACAGAAGTCAAGCAGTATCAGTAAAAGTACCACCTGTTTAACTTGTGAAAAAAATGTTTTTACAAATTTGATTTCTAAGCAAAAATTACTTGGCAAAAGTAAAGTGAAGTGGAAGAAGAAAAAAGGGATCTGTTTTTCTATCAAGCTCACAATCATTGCTCTTAAACTGTAATTAGTTTAAGTCCTCCGGCCAGCTTTCTACAAGCCCTGAGGTCTTTCCACTCCACATAATATCCAATTGTGATCATCCCTGAGCTACTACACAATCTGGGATTTTGTTGCTTCAAAGTCAAAGGCAATGAGCTGGGGGTCACAAAGCTTCATCAGGAGACTCTCTAATAATGGAGAGAAGGGCAATAAATAACTACGTTCCTCCCGGGTAAAACTGTGTCACCACCTTGACCTCAAGCCTACCACAGACTGCTCTCGGGGCCTGCTGTTTCCCTCCCTGTATCCTGCTGGAACCTACCCCATCTGTACCAGCTTCTGCAGCAGTTGTTCTGTCTAGCTTTACATAGAGTATGTGAGCTCAGAGGAGAGGTAAAGACTCAAGATAACAACGTGGGAACCTCCTTCACTGTGTTTGCACAGACTATGAAGACTTCCCCTCAGTAAAATAACCAGCTGCTTGAAAAGTAAGTTGTCCTTTCTACTCTGGGCAACTGGCTAAACGACAGAGGAACAGAGAAGGAATTTCTGAGGAGAAAGGAAACTGTGTGATGGAGGATAAAAATCACAGAACAGACCCAGAAGCTGGAAAATACTTAACAGAATAAAGTGATATTCTAATTTCTGTATGACAGCATAGAAAAAGACAAGCTCACTGAAAAATTTCTGGATATACCACATTAAAATATATTCCATATTTATTCAGAATATCATAATCAATGCAAACACAGAACTCTCTTCTCACCTGTAAAAGTTAAGTACAATACTATGGGCTAGATACATAATATTTCAGTCGAGTCTTCAGTATTAGCTTGTAAAAACAAAATCTACAATTATAGATATCCATCATACAAAATATATATACAAAAGCATAATTGTAGTGTAGAAAGATAAAGTTAACAAAATACAACTTATGTAATTTACTTTACACAAAAATGTATTCTAGTTAATTTTTTCCAAGAGCTTCACCAATTAGTCGAATAGCAATACTCTTGCCTTCATCTGTTTGAATGACAAGCAAAGCTTCAAATTTGCCTGCGGACTTCGGTTTGAACTGCACGGGCATGTTGATGTAATGCTGGGCTCTGGAAAGAGAGAGGCACATGACAGCAGCATGTCATGACAGCACCCGTGACCCTGTCCCAGGCAGCACAGTGCCTGGCTCAGGTGTTGAGGAAAGAGCTCGGTCAAGCCACATTCAGCTTAAATGTATTTATGATTTCTTGGATGCTATTATTTAATGAGAAAATAACACAAAGGAGAGAAAAACGTAAAATTGGATTAAAACAGTATTGCATACGTATGTATTCCTGGCTATCCAGTAACTATTAATATATAAAAAGGAAAATAAGAGGTCTAAACTATCATACATACAGCTTTGTATACTGCCTGCAAAAACTATCTACCTAAGAAAGGGTTCGGGAACACCCTAAATGCCCGTTTTACTCAGTCCAGACAGCATATTGCACTGGAAAGATTAAAACAACTTGTCCCAACCCTATCATTAATGGGCTGTGCAGTTTTTGCTCTAAAATTCATATGATCCTTTTTTTTTTGAGACGGAGTTTCACTCTTGTAGCCCAGGCTGGGGTGTAATGGCATGATCTTGACTCACTGCAACTTCTACCTCCCAGATTCAAGCAATTCTCCTGCCTCAGCCTCCTGAGTAGCTGGGATTACAGGCGCCCATCACCGCACCCAGCTAATTTTTGTATTTTTAGTAGAGGCGGGGTTTCACCATGTCGGCCAGGCTAATCTCAAACTCCTGGCCTAAAGTGATCCACCCGCCTTGGCTTCCCAAAGTGCTAGGATTACAGGCATGAGCCACCATGCCCGGCCGGAAACTTTCATCAAAAATATTCTAGAAACTTTACTTTCAGATTACAGTATATAGAGGCAGGTAACAAGTGCCCTATGGTTAAAAACAGTATTCTAGGGGGTTTGTTTTTGTCCCTAAAACTATGTCCTAAGAGCTTCAAAATACACCTCAAAATATGCAATTTAACAAGTTATTCACAGTGTGAATGAGGCTACAAACACATTACACACAGCCCATGTGATGTCATCAACGTCTAGGCTTAGGCGTTTTTAAGTGAAAGTTCTGAGCTCACAGGGAAGGTACTTCACCCCTTAGTCTCGTCTCAGAGCTGTGTGTTTTAAAGACTGGCAACCAGAAGTGATGTACGTTTCGGTTTCCAGCATCTGTCCTGAAAATCCCAGCAGTGTCGCTCTTGGGTGCACAAGAGTACACCGGGCATGAGGTTTAGAAAACAGCTTCAGTATTTCAAAGCCCTTTTCCTGGATATAACTGATAACACAAATAGTGTATGTTCTTAAATATATCTATATAGAGCAAAGGTGTGTATGTGTATCTCTATATGTTTTTATTTAAAGTCTGGGTTATTTTCCCCAAATGCATTACATTTGTTTTACCATGTCAAAGATAATGTACTTTTTAAAAAAAATCTAACCTGGCCCATGGCATTAGCTACAATTTTCTCTTGCATGTTGGTGGTCAATACTTGGATAAATATAGTACCATTTGCCTATTTAAGAGGCTTTATAACTTATGAATTAGTAAAAATAATAAAATAGCCCCAAAAAAATCTCTGGAAGAACTCATTATTAATAAATTTCATCACAGAATATAGAATTGTTCTATATTAACCTGAAAATTTAAGTATATTGTGATTAAAAATATATCATCTGCTTTAGATTTACAGATACACTGAATAAAATGGAATGCAATTTAGAAAGAACCACAACATTTAATACAGCTATAGAACACTCCCAGCAAGATGGATATATTTTAAAAAGTACTTTGTAATACTATTATTGAGAACTAATTTAATCTCTACACACACACACACACACACACACACACGGGAAAAGGTAGCAGGAAAGTCCTCTGAACCCAGTGGGGAGGTCTAGTTCAGATCCTCTCTCTAGCTAATGATAGATGTAATTGCAAAGGCACGCAGAGCAGAAATGCATCTAGGGAGCAGAGAGGCCATCAGGCTGTGCACACTCAGCCCCCAACTCCCTGCAGGCCCCATCTACATGGAAAGGGCTTAGTGGAACCTACAAATTCTAGCAACCACACTTCCTTCCTTCCTTTCAAAACATTTTTTTTTTTCAGACGGATTCTCGCTCTGTCGCCCAAGCTGGAGTGCAGTGGCACGATCTCAGCTCACTGCAACCTCTGTTTCCCTGGTTCAAGCCATTCTCCTGCCTCAACCTCCTGAGTAGCTGGGACTACAGGCATATGCCACCAGGCCCGGCTACTTTGTTTTTTTGAGACGGTGTCTCGCTCTTTTGCCAGGCTGGAGTGCAGTGGCACGATCTCGGCTCACTGCAACCTGTGCCTCCCAAGTTCAAGCGATTCTTCTGCCTCAGCCTCCTGAGTAGCTAGGATTACAGACATGCGCCACCTTGCCCAGCTAATTTTTGTATTTTTAGTAGAGACGGGGTTTCACCATGTTGGCCAGGATGGTCTTGATCTCTTGACCTCGTGATTCACCCGCCTCCGCCTCCCAAAGTGCTGGGATTACAGGCATGAGCCACCGCGCCTGGCCTGCTTTTTGCATTTTTAGTAGAGACAGGGTTTCACATGTTGGCCAGGCTGATCTTGAACTCCTGACCTCAGATGACCCGCCCGTCTTGGCCTCCCAAAATGTTGGGATCACAGGCATGGGCCACCATGCCCGGCCCAAAACATTTTTTTAAAGGAACAGTTTCCACAGAAAAAAAGCCAGTACACTAGCACATACAAGGTACCACCATTATCAAAGAAACTGAAAAAGGTAATAAAATTTGTTCCCACACATGGGTGAGAAGTCACTGCAGCTCAATGATAACTCTATTCCTTGGCTTGTCACTTTTCTAGGAACTGTCCTTCTCTCCCAAATGACATGCAGGGTCTGCCAGGATTGTGCACCTTGCACTGTGCAAGGACATGAGGGCACAGTTGAGGTGGAACCTATTAGCTACAACACCTCAGCTGGGGTTAGATGGTCATAAAATAATAGGTTAAGAGAAAGATGCTTTTGGGGACTAAGTAGAAACATAAATTCTTTTAAAAAAGATATAAGAAAGAGATGATCTCTCAGAACCCTCAAAAAAGAACCTTTACAAGAAAACCTGTTAGTAATGTTTCCTTTTCCCTATAACCTTACTTATAATCTATCATACATTCGTGTTCACCCACCTCTGCACTGAGCAAAACCCCTGTACCTTCTTGGGGGAACTCTTCTGCCTCCTTAAGCTAGAATCAGCTTACAGCCTGTAAGGAGCAGCCACTTTCCTGTGCTAGTGCTGGAGCTTTCGGAGAGCAGCCCCACCAGGCCTTCCGGTGGCCTTGGAAAAAGTGCATATTTGTAAGTAATCATCTCCTGTACCCTACAGATGACTACAATCCTATTATTGCTTTGGAAATGTGTAGTTAATGGTGTCATAGAGCACACAGTGATCTAACAAATGAAAAATGTGATTAACTAAAGGCTGGGAATTGCTTCTCAGGGCTTTAAGAACACAGATTTTGTTGCACTGCCAAGGCAAGCTAACTGCTGCTCTCATCTGGCAATTATGTATTGTGAACCTTTGTCTAAAGTCACAGTGTCTCGTGTCTGGGACAAATACAATAGCACACAATGCCGTAAGTCCCCATGACTTCAGTTCTGTGGTAAGAACTGTCACTGGGGTTCCTGTGGTATCTGCCTCTACTGTCCTGCTGCTTCTCCAAGGTCAACACAGGTCATTCTCTGTTACAAAGGAGCCAGTGTTTCCACCTTTCTTTGCGTAAAATAAAGTTTCCTATAACCCAGAGTTTAGTTCATTTAGTTAAACAGATCACAGAATTAGTGCTTTATACACATGATTTTCTTACTCATACTTTACCAAATTTACAATGAACTGCTGCTATTAAAGCTATTGCTGAAATCAGTACTATTATGCATTTACCCTGTAGTCCTATAGTGATAGTTAATATCGATGCAGACTTTCTGGAAACTCACCATAATCAGAATAACTTAAGTGTCCGCCACTAATAGAGTATAAAATTATTTCATTCAAATTTATCTTCAAAGCATTAAAGTTTTAAAAGATTTAAATATGTTCAGAGTATAAACTATGCACCTTGCAATACTATTTTAAATGCTAACTTAATTGAACTGTCCAAATTTTGCTTAATTTAAAAATATTTTCTCACGTTTCTAAGTTCCTTCAGATGCCATTAATGTGACACAGGCTGCACAGGAATGCAGGGCTGTAATTTATGACTCTTAATTTCAAGCACTGGAGCGGCAAGTCTACAAGTTAACGTCCACAAAAATGTCTACTTTTACATGACCAGCAAGGAACACATTTCATATCTCAAAAGTGGTTTATAGAACACAAGTTGAAGCTAAGCAAAATGTCATCTCATTTATAAAATTTGAGTTTCTCATTAAAAATGTTTTAGGCATCTTTCAAAAATCCCCTTATCTGATTTCCACTCAGTTGGTCTTGTCCCTACACTCCATATCAGAAATAGACTCTGCCATCTGTAGCACTATTGTGATGAAATAGGTTTAGGTTCTTTCTCTGGAAAGAGTCAAATCTGAATTGGCCCACAAATTTTGGCAGAAATGCAATTCTTTAAAAAAAATCTGTGAAGGCAAATTAAGCAAAGAATATAACATCAAAAAAGAATTTGAAATGACAACGTATTCAATAATGAAAGTTGGAAAATGACTGTTTAACTGCAGGAAAGTTTTGACTGCCTCATACCTAGCCATAAAATGGAGAACAGTGACATAAAGCCATAATTTGACACGTTTATTTTAAATAATGATGCTTTATCAAAACTACAGATGAGGATGAGGTATAGGTAAATATTGTTTTTTTAAAGTTGGTACTAGACTCTTCAAGATAATTTTTTTAAATGAAACTTTGTTTAGAAGCTTTTAAAAATATTTTATTTATTTACTTATTTATTTTTGAGACAGAATTTCACTCTTGTTGCCCAGGCTGGAGTACAGTGGTGTGATCTCAGCTCACTACAACTGCCTCCCAGGTTCAAGGGATTCTCCTGCCTCAGTCTCCCAAGTAGCTGGGATTACAGGCGCCTGCCACCATGCGTGGCTAATTTTTGCAGTTTTAGTGGAGATGGGGTTTCATAATGTTGGCCAGGCTGGTCCAAACTCCTGACCTCACATGATCCGCCCACCTCGGCCTCCCAAAGTGCTGGGATTACAGGTGTGAGCCACCACACCCAGCCTAAAAAATATATTTTTTAAGGTAAGAAGAGCTCCTTGAAATAAAAATCTAAAGTCCCTCCAATTTGTGACAGATGTATGCCAGTTTGAACAGAAGTATTCCATTGATCCACTGCATGTTTAAAAATATACCCTGCAAAAAGCTGGTGAAGATGTGGGATGTGAACCAATCTGAGGAAGCAGAATGAATAATGCAGTTATGATAAAATTTGAGTTTAGATAATAACAGTGTTCAGGATAATTTATTCAGTATCTATTTGTACTCAGTTACTAAAAACAGTTACAACAATTAGAAATTTAAATGATCTTTTTCTGAATAAACTAATTGCCTCTGCAGTTGTGCTACCATGTATTTTAGTAGTTCCAACCTATTATTACGCACACTAGAGCATCACTAGTCTCAAATCAATTGGGGCAGCCTACAATAACTGGAGATCCACAGACTACTATGAGAGGAGAACTTGGAGAACAGAAGTTGGAAAACTTGGATTTGGCTGATTTTTAAACTTGGGCCTTTCTCTTCTATGTAGTTGTCATAGGGATTAAATGAAGACACACTGATAATAAAATGAGGTTCTATCAAAATCTGTAGAGTGAGTGTTGATGCATCCTGCCAGCCAAGGTCACCTACAGGGGAGATTTAATGATGATGATGATGATGATGTTAACACCTGACGCTTGCTATGTCTGGGCATTATTACCACGTCTCTTACATTCCTCACAATTCTATGCTGTCAGTAGCTAGCACTGGCATCTCCATTTTACAAATAAGGAAATTGAGGCCAAAGAGTTTATCAAGTTTATGATAATTTTTAGATGTATTCATTGTTGAATTTTCAGAACTAAAATCTATAGTTTGTGCCTTTAGGTCAGTCTCCTGGGAGGGAAAGGAAGGGTTTAGCCCTCAAGCATATTAAAACATTTTATAGTCCATAGGAGAAGGAAGAGGTGGTGTGAGAGATAAACGAATAAAAAGAAAGAGTAAGGTGGAAGGAACAGTCCTCAATCGAGCCATCTTTCCAGTATCCAGGGCTGTGAGCTTCAACTGTACAGCACCGCTGGTCTTAGTAAGTGCATAAATGGCAGGCCTAGAATGTTTGCAGAGTGGTCCAAATTTTCATAGAATAGAACACGTTTCTGGAATAGTCTCCTAATGCTAAAATGAGAGACTTTACAATAATTAAATGACTTAAAGATTCAAAGATGAAATTAAAATTATTCTTCAGCATTAAGCCCAACAGAACCCTAACTATTAAGTTCTAAATAACAGTGACAACCCAGTTCGAGGTTCAACCTAAATGTGCATCATATAGAAAAGAAAATTAGCAAGAGCGACAAGAAAATGAGGCCCTGATTAAGAACAGTAAGGAGTGTCTAAAGAATGGCAACTGGAAAACACCACAATAAAAGTTTTCCCAATTAACTCGGAAAGGTTTTTGTCCCAGTTAATGAAAATCTAAGTCCTTGACTCTCAGCATACCAGTGCAAATAACATTTGAAAGAGGAACTACTCTAAAAGTCAATCTTAAGATAATTACAGCTCTAAGATTTATGTGGCTGCAAATCCTGGGTGGGAGGAGTCACACCAGCCCAAATGCTGTGCACTGTGGCACCGCTGAGTGCACCACGGACGGTCAGGAGCTGTCCCCCTGCAGGCTCCTTTTCTCTGCTTCTACTTGCGGAGACTCTGCCTAATGCTGTTTGGTGCTGGTGAGGAATATGGAGGACCTGCAGCAGAGGAGACCTCACAAGCCCCAACTCCCAAGAGACGAAAGTCCTGCATCGCTGATGAGAACACTGTGATCTGCGATAAACTTACCTCAAAGAGTACTTGGAATGTTTGACATAGAATGGCTCTCTGGGACTCAAAAACTTCAGCTGGAATTTAATAGAAGACACTTTATAAAGTTATGAAAATTAGATCTTTTAGCATATATAAGCATACCAAGCATTTATTTATTACAGATACATTTTGTAAATTTAGGTATTGCCACAAAATTAGGTAGTACAATAAATGCTAATGTAATGAAAACATATTTAAGAAAATTTTAACATGAATTTAATCTAGTTTTAACTAAAGTAAAGGTTGTCCAGAAATATGTGTGTATAATAGTACAGAAGAAAAAGAAAAAGTTAAAAATTAAAATATAAAACAAATTTTTGATTTTCAAGTAAAGGGTTATAAACTTCCAGTGAGTTTATGTTCAAATAAAATACTAAGGAATTTCTGGGCGGATGGGGGCAGGGTCTTGCTCTGTCACCCTGGCTGAAGTGCAGTGGCACAATCATGGCTCACTGCAGCCTCAACCTCCCAGCCTAAAGCGATCCTCTCAGCTCAGCCCCCACAAGTAGCTGGAACTACAGGTACCTGCCACCATGCCCGGTTAATTTTTTTTTTTTTTTGGTAGAGATGGAGTCTCACTATATTGCCCAGGTTGGTCTCAAACTCCTGGGCTCAAACAATCCTCCTGCCTTGGCCTCCCAAAGTCCTGAATTACAGGTGTGAGTCACTGCACCTGGCCTTATATTGCATTTTTAAAAATTACTTCATTATGGCCGGGCGTGGTGGCACACGCCTGTAATCCCAGCACTTTGGGAGGCCGAGGCAGGCAGATCATGAGGTCAGGAAATCAAGACTATCCTGGCTAACACGGTGAAACCCCGTCTCTACTAAAAATACAAAAAATTAGCCAGGCGTGGTGGCGGGCACCTGTAGTCCCAGCTACTCAGGAGGCTGAGGCAGGAGAATGGCATGAACCCGGGAGGTGGAGCTTGCAGTGAGCCGAGATCGCACCACTGCACTTCAGCCTGGGCGACAGCGAGACTCCATCTCCAAAAAAAGAAAAATTACCTCATTCTTACAACTTAAATATAGTCTACAGAATCATCAGGAAAATGTTTGTTATCAGAGTTGAATGCATGTATTTTTCCAAAACCCATAGTAATATTTCCAACTTACTGAGTGTGTAATAAAAGAATTATTTCGCAGATTGACTTTAAGTGTCCGTGATTCCCCCACACTAGTCGGCCGGAACCTGTACACATCCTCTGGGGCATAAACTCCACGAGCAGTCACATCAAGCTGCCTGCTTTGGGAATAGGTGTAAAAGTTAAGAATCTGAAATCCACAGTAACTTAAACTGTTTTTATATATTAAAATTATGTAGTATTGCATTAATTTATGTTTTCCTGGTGATTTATTTTCAAATATAAGTTTTGTAATGACGACTTATCTAATTTATGTGAAGAGGATGACAGCAGGAATCCTCTCATAAAGGGTGCTGGATAGGCCTCACTCTCCTCACAGCCTGGGTCTCTACCTGCCAGAAGCCCAGTTTGTATGAAGGTGGCCCTTTACCTCAGTTCATTTCGCTTGGCCCCGTCACGCTGCAGTACCGACTGTACTTCACTATCACAGGGACACAGGCTGCTCCAAGTGCCTGATGCAGGTGTGGCCTCCAGGCAATGTTTGCTGGTGGTGGCACTGGCTCTTGCCTGGGCTTCCCAAACCCTGCACAGCTGCCTCCCCTTTCTCCGGCCACTCCCGGGTCTCTGCAGGCTCCCCTCCACCCCCAACTCTCTGCACATCTGACCTTCCCCTCACACCTAGCTCGGCACCCCCCAGCAGCCCTATCTATTCAGTCACTACACAATGGTCCCTCAGGATAGCTCAAACACCTTCAGTCTCCACAAATACAAAAATGAACTTGTGATTTTTGTCCTCAAACCTGATCCTCCACTTGTGTTTGCTGAATGGTATCTGGGAGCCGACCCTCTCACAGCCATCCCCTTTATCCAGTCCATTGCAGAGGCCCTCCTATCTCCAGTCTGCCTGTTCTCTTCCTATTCCTTGACACTATTTTACTCCTGGACTCCTTTAAAATAGCCCCTCCTCACCTCCTTCTTATCAGTCATACCACAGCTAGGGGATTGTCCTACACACGCATACCTGATCATGTCACTCCCTGGCTTCCCAGCTCTCCAGAAAAGCAAACACCTCCTAGGCCCAGCTCTGGCCTTGCCCCCCACCACTCCCCTTTCACACTGAACTTCTCCTGGGAACTTCTCCGACCCTCCTCACCTAGGCCGTTTCCACTCATCCTCCTCAACTTAAATGTCCCCTTTCAGGGAACTCCTTCCCAGGTTTCACAGACCAAGCTGCCTCTGTCACTTCTCCCAGTTTCTCGTTTGTTTCCCCGCAGCCCGTGTGGGCTCTGGGTTGGCGAGGCTGTGTCTCCAGAAGGGAGCTGTGGAGGCGCGGGGCTCAGAGAGCAAGAGAGAAGCAAGGGATAACAGCCTGGAGGGAGTGTGCCAAGAACATGCATTCATTAAAGGGCTCTAATTTCTTCCAAATGCATTATTGGCTCCCATTAAAAAATAAATGACTAAATTTATATTAAATTCAGCAGATATTTAACATATATTGTCCTTCCAGGCATCCTCCTCAAGAACTTAATTAGACCTAATTACTAGTTAATTAAGGATTATAAGAAATATTTTCATAAGGTAGAATACTAAATAATATTCTCATTAAAGCTATATATGCGGCTGGTATAAGTTTTACATTTTAAAGCTTTTTAAGAATCTACTTTCATATGCTGCTTATGGGAACATAAAATGGTACAACTATTTAGGGAAAACTATTTGGCAGTTTATTTTAAAGTTCAACACATGGTTATCATGTGACCTCGCAATTGTGGGTAAAAGTAGGTATTTTTACTAAAAAGTAACGAAAATGTATGTCATCTTTAGAAATGCACATACAGTAATATTCATAGCACCTTAATTAATAATCATTCCAAATTATAAGACATCCAAAAGTCAACAGGAAAATGAATAAACTGTGATACGTTCATTTAATGGAATACTAAACAATAAAAAGGAATGAACTATAGGTACATTCAATAACATGAATGGATTTTTAAAAATAGTATGTTGAGAAAAAGAAGCCAGACACAAAGAATATATACATACATATGTATATATATGAAGTTCAAGCAAAATGAATCTATGATGACAGAAATCAGAACAGGACAAATCTTGACTGCAAAGGGACACGTAAGAACTTTCTGGGCGAGAGGAATATTCTGTATCTTGGTTGGAGTGCTGGTAACACATGTGAACTCAGGTAAAGTCATCGAGCATTTTACTGACTCTATTCCTCAATAAAGTACTGGGAAAAAACTCATAAGAATGACAAAAACAACATACTCAGGTATGCGAGCAGAAGCCTCTGACACAGCTTGTCTTCGGGGCTTAACTAAATGATCTATTTTAATGAGGGAATCCGTGGAAAGGCATGCGTTTTCAGGCTCATTTTCTGCTTCGATGCTCTATACAGAAAAATCACAGGGTAACGGAGAAGAAATAAAAACTAAGAAAATATATGGACATTTACTTATTTGAATTCTATCATTTCCTTTAAAAATTTTTAAAAGGCAATTTAAGATTTTTAAATCCCCTAAATTGCAAGCTCTGTACTCTGTCCTGCCTGGTTCCTCTCTCTCATGTGCCCATGTGCATACATGATGCACACGCACAGAGTTTCTTATATAACTAAGTCAAACATGGGTTTCATGGGCTGTATGAACAATACAGCCAAATCCAGTCCTCAAACATGCCAATTAATAAAGACAAACAAGAAAATTAAGATTATGGGGCTATATTCTGCATTTTCAGGCCAACTTTTCTTATTAATTTCCCTTTCTGTTTTTAAAATACATACAATAATTTACTTAAATTCAGTGTACTACTCACTTGTCCAGAGAGTTGGAATCTCAACGTGTGTTTCATGTGAGGCTCCTTAAGAGGGTGACATTCAACATCCCAAAACTGGGCATAATCCCCCCTACCTCTGGGCAAAAATGTGATGGAGACCTACGAAATACATACAGAAGAGAAATTTAGACACTGATCATTAAACACAGTGTTAGCTAGATCACCAGTTCAAAGATTTGGTATGAAAAAAATTAAAGGAACAAATGCTTTTGCACTGGCTAGTTTTGCCATTAATTGAAAGAATTTGGACAATTTCATTTCTAGCGGGTTACTATACCAGATCCAAAACACATTTTTGCTTAAGGCTTTATATAACATATTTCTTAAAATGTACAATAAATGCTTTACTGTGGGGGGAAATGTTATCAGAAAGCACTAAAGCTGTGAAGCACAACACCTACACGAGGAAGGTCCAACCACAGACCCGCAATTGTCTTCCCTTGTGTGCTTATGGAACCCTCTGCTGGCCAAGCAGTACCAGGACAAGGGCCTCACAGCGGCCAGGAGCTGTAGAGGACTGACAACAGTGAGGGGGGCGGCGGCTACAGGAGGCAGAACAAGACAAGCGCCAGACGCTCCACAGTGGCAGCTCGCATTATGATTAGCTTCCAAATGTCAGTCAGCCAGTGACCCTGGGCACATAGCTCAGTGATAAACACCCTGCATGTGTACAACCTGTAAAAAGCTCAATCATGAGAAAACTGTAATGTTTAAAAACAGCATTTTATAACAATTACCAATATTAAGAGCCTTAGCTTTATCAAATAATTTAGTGTTGATAATACTGATCACTTAACAATGAATCAGTTAACAATGAATCAGGTTAACAACAAATCAGTATTCCTGAGTCTGGACTTAAACATTAAAACACATAGGTGGCCTAATTTCTGCCCACGCAGAACCTTAAACATAATAACCCAGCCAGCCTGAGCTCAAGGCTTTTGAGAGCCTGGAGGCAAAAGCAGGACTGGTCAGGGAGAGGAGAGCATCTGACTAGAGAATTACACCACCAGGGGCTTGGACACTAAGAAGATGAAGGAAGGAAAGGGTGAAAAACAAAGGAATGGGTAAAAACCACCACTGGGGACTACGGGACTATAAAATCCTAACTATACCCCTTCAAATACCAAAAACACAACATAACACAGGAGGGGAAAACTAGTATTACTGCATGTTACACCCTAGGCACATACTGGGAACTTTAACATTCAGTATCTCAGCTAATCCCCTGGAAAGCAGGCTCTACTTTCTCTCTATAGATCTGCCTGTCCTAGACATTTCACATAGATAGAATCACACATCTGTGGGCTTCTGTGACTGGCTTCTTTCACTTAGCATAATGTTTTCAAGGTTCACCCATCTGGATATAGCATGTAGCAGTAACTCCATTCCTTTTCACTGCCAAATAATATTTCATTTTACAGATATACCAGATTTTGTTTATCGACCCATCAGACATTTGGGTGATTCCCACTTTTTTGTCTATTGTGAATAACACTGCTGTGAACACTTGTGAACAAGTTTTTGTTTGAAAATCTGCTTCAACTTTTCTAGTGTATATCCAGAAGTGGAACTGCTGGGTCATGCAGTAATTCTATGTTTGGCTTATTGAGAAACTGCCAAATTATTTTCCATAGCGGCTGTACCATTTCACATACCCTCCAGCAATGCATCAGGGTTCCAATTTCCCCACATCCTCACCAACACCTGTTATTTTCTGTTTTTTTAAAACTCACAGCCATCTTAGTGGGTATTAAGTGATACTTCATTTCTCGTTTTGATTGCATTTTGCTAATGACTAGGAATTCTAAGCATCTTCTCACATGTTTATTGACCACTTGTATGTTTTCTTTGGGAAAATGTCTATTCAAATCCTCTGCTCACTTAAAAAATTGGGCCATTTCTTTTTACTGGGTTGTAAGAGTTCTTTACGTATTCTGGATACAAGTCCTTTGTCAAATACATCATTTGCAAATTTTTGTCCCTATTCTCTGTCTTTCATTGTCTTGATGGTGTTGTTTGAAGCACAGATCTTTTTGATTTTGATAATTCACCTATTTTCTCTTTTGTGGCTTGTGCTTTACTGGTGTCAAATCTAAGAAACCAATGCTTAACCTAAGGTCATGAAGATTTATTCCTATGTTGTCTTTTAGAGGTTTTATAGCTTTAGGTCTAATGTTTATGGTCTATGGTTGATTTTCGGTGAATCTCTGTATATGGTACTAGGTAAGTGTGATGGTTAATATTAGGTGTCAACTCAGGCCGGGCACGGTGGCTCACGCCTGCAATCCCAGCACTTTGGGAGGCCAAGGCAGGTGGATCACAAGGTCAGGAGATCGAGACCATCCTGGCTAACATGGTGAAACCCCCATCTCTACTAAAAATACAAAAAATTAGCCAGGCGTGGTGGTGGGCACCTGTAGTCCCAGCTACTCGGGAGGCTGAGACAGGAGAATCACTTGAACCCAGGAGGCAGAGGTTGCAGTGAGACGAGATTGAACCACTGCACTCCAGCCTGGGCAACAGAGTAAGACTCCATCTCAAAACAACAACAAAACCCCACAAATATTAGGTGTCAACTCAATTGGATCAAAGGAGGCCTAGATGGCTGCTCAGTATTGTTTCTGGGTGTGTCTATGAGGGTGTTGCCAGAGGAGACTGACATTTGAGTCTGTGAACTGGGAGAGGAAGGCCCACCCTAATGTGGGTGAGCACATCCAATCAGCTGCCAGCAGGCTAGAAGAGGCAGGTGGAAGAAGGTGGGATAACCTTGCTTGCTGAGTCTCTTGGCTTTCATTTTTATCCCGTGCTGGATGCTTCCTTCCGTTCCTCCTGCCCTTGGAAATCAGACTCCAAGTTCTTCAGCCTTTGCACTCTGGGATTTACATAAGTGTTTGGCCAGGGGCCCTCTGATAGTCAGTTTGGCCACAGACTGAAGGCTGCACTGTTGGCTTCCTTCTTTTGAGGCTTTTAGACTCAGACTCAGCTGCTACTGGCTTCTTTCTTCCCCAGCCTGCAGATGGCCTATCGTGTGACTTTGCCTTGTTAATAATGTGAGTCAATTCTCCCTAATAACCTCCCTTTCATATATACATATATCCTATTAGTTCTGTCCCTCTGGAGAACCCTAATACAGTAAGGGTCTACCCTAATTCTTTTGCATGTGGCTATCCAGTTCTCCCAGGCACTATTTGTTGAAAAATATTCTTTCCCCATTGAACTGTCTTGGTGCCCTTATTAAAAAAAAAAAAAATCAATTGATTATAAATATTAGGGTTTATTTTGGGACTCTCAATCCTATTCCATAGTTCTGTGGAACTGTCAATACCACACTGTTTTGTGTAATGTGGCTTTGTAGTAGGCTTTGAAAGCAGGGAGTGTGAATCCTCCAATTTTGTTCTATTTCAAGATCGTTTGATTATTCTAGGTCTCTTGTATATCTATATAAATTTCAGAATCAGCCTTTCAATTTTAAAACAAAACCCAGCTGGATTTATTTCTAAATTAGTTTTTCTGTTTTATTTAACGAAATTTAGATTTTAATTACAACTGTGCACTAAATCTTAGAATGAACAAAGAATAAAGTGGGCTTAGATTTTGGTGCAATTTTTTTGCAGGGCAGGGGACAAAGTTATACAATGGTATAAGGTGTATAAATTCTCAGGACAACCCATAAAGACCATTTTGGAAAACATATTCGAGGGGTTCATGAAAGAGGCATTTTAGAAGTCTTTGATACTTAAGTCATTCTTTTTGCAACACATTTATTTACCTTTAATTCTTTTAAAGTTTTTTTGAATTTTTAACTAATCTCATTCTGCTAGATTCTCACTTGACAAATGCTTTTCGTGTAAAATTGTCTCTTTCCTGCCTTGGTCAATTTTGCCAAAGGTTTGTCTATTATTATTATTTTTTCCAAAAAAGCAGCTTTGGAGATGTTAATCTTCTCTCATTTCTTTAATTTTACTATGTTTTGCTTTAGAACTTTTTTTTCTTCTTTCTTTGGATTTATTATTTTCACCATTCTTCAAATGACTGCTTAGCTCATTAATTTCAATTTTTTTTCTTTTTAAAATAGATGTATGACACCTGTATCTTTACCACTATGGAAAATGGGCTTATTGTTGTTCCGTTTTCCTTTTTCAACTTTTATTTTAGATTCAGGGGGTACATGCGCAGGTTTGTTACCTGGGTATACTGCACGATGCTCAGGTTTGAGGTATGAATGATCCCATCACCCAGGTACTGAGCATAGTACCCAATAGTTAATTTTTCAGCCCTTTTCCCACTTCCAGTAGTCCCCAGTTTCTATTGCTGTCATCTTTATATCCATGAGTACCCAATATTTAGCTCCAACTTATAAGTGAGAAAATGTGGTATTTGGTTTTCTATTCCCATGTTAATTCATTTAGGATAATCGCCTTCAGCTGTATCCATGTTGCTACAAAGGTCATGATTTGATTCTACGGCTGCACAGTATTCCATGATATACATGTACCAATCCACCATTTCTTCATCCAATCCACCGGTGATCAACGGTGGATTGATCCATGTCTCTGATACTGTGAATAGTGCTGTGATGAATGTGCAAGTGCATGTATCTTTTTAGTAGAACAATCTGCTGTCTTTTGGGTATATATCCAGTAGTGGGACTGCTGGGTTGAATAGTAGCTCTAAGTTCTTTGAGAAATCTCCAAACTGGTCTCCATGGTGGCTGAACTAATTTACATTCACACTAAGTGTATAAGCATTTTTTCTCTGCAGCCTTGCTAGCATCTATTGTTTTTTGACTTTTTGTTTTATTTTTTTGGAGACAGTGTCTCACCCTGTCACACAGGCTGGAGTGCAGTGGCACAATCTCAGCTCACTACAACTTCTGCCTCCTGGGTTCACGTGATCCTTCCACCTCAGCCTCCCAAGTAGGTAGAACTACAGGTGCGTGCCACCATGCCCAGCTAATTTCTGTATTTTTTGTCACCATGCCCAGCTAATTTCTGTATTTTTTGTAGAGACAGAGTTTCGCCATGTTGCCCAGGCTGCTGACTTTTTAATAACAGCCATTCTGACTGCTGTGAGATGGTATCTCATTGCGGTTTTGATTTGCATTTCTTGATGATTAATGATGTGGAGCATTTTTTCAGGTTTGTTGGCTGCTTGTATGTCTTCTTCTGAGAAGTGTCTGTTCATGTCTTTTGCTCATTTTTAATGGGGTGGTTTGTTTTGGGCTTGTTCAATTGTTTTAAGTTCCTTATAGATCCTGGGTATTAGACTTTTGTCAGATGAATAGTTTGTGAATGTTTTCTCCTCTTTTGTAGGTTGTCTGTTTACTCTGTTGATAGTTTCCTTTGCTGTGCAGAAGCTCTTTAGTTTAATTAGGTCCCATTTGTCAATTTTTGTGTTTTTTTATTACAATTGCTTTGGAGAATTTAGTCATACATTCTTTCCCAAGAATAATGTCCAAAATGGTGTTTCCTAAGTTTCCCTCTAGGATTCTTATAGTTTGAGGTCTTATGTTCAAATATTTAATCCACCTTGAGTTAATTTTTATACATGGTGAAAGGCAGGGGTCCAGTTTCATTCCTCTCCATATGGTTAGCCAGCTATTCCAGTACTACTTATTGAATAAGGAGTCCTTTCCCCATTGCTTATTTTTGTTGACTTTGTTGAAGATCAGATGGCTGTAGGTTTGTGGCTTTATTTCTGGGTTCTCTATTCTGTTCCATTGGTTTATATGTCTGTTTTTGTTTTGCTACCATGCTGTTATGGTTACTGTAGCCTTATAGTATTTTTTTTTTTTTTTTGGAGATACTATCTTTATTTCTAATCGCTTTAACTCATTATGAGTTGAAATTAATTTGGAAACAATTATTTTTTAATAAACAAAGTCAGTATCACAGTGCTGTTTGCTCCATTTGAAAACAAACGTCTCTGGATCTCCATAGGAAAAATAAAAACAATTCAATTGGAGGTTACCTAAAACTAGTCCTTGTCATTCAGAATAGCTTCAGGCTGCTCACATCATACATACCTTGGGCATATGCTGAAGAGAAAACAAAAAATCCTGGAGAGATTAATTTAGGTACTTATTCTGATAATTCCTAGCAAAGGATAGCCACTTTTGTCTTCCATGTCCTCTAAGCCTTTTTAGGAACTGATAGTTTGGAGCTAATGAAAACCAAGCTTTCAGATTTCTGAGTCTCATTTAGACAGTCAGTAGACTGTCAGCCCAGAGAGGGACATCAAGTGCTTTCCAAAAACATTCTTTAGTATGAGGTTGTGGATTTGACTATGTTAGAGAGATTGTGAAAACTGAATACAGGAATTTGCTTATTTATTTTATTAAAAAAATTTTTTTGAGACAAGGTCTCACTGTATTGCTCAGCCTGGCTCAAACTCCTGACCTTAAGTGTTCCTCCTGACTCAGCCTCTTGAGTAGCTAAGACTAGAGTCATGCGCCACAGCACCCAACTCTGGAATTAATTTTAAATCCAACTTTGCTACCTGATTGTATGACCTTTGGCAAAATGCTCGCTTAGTTTAAGCCTTACTACCTGTAAAATGGGAATGTGTACCTTTATGAAGATTAAATCTATATATGTACACACACACACACATAACATCTGTTACATGGCAGACACTGCATTAATAATACAGTAGGTAATATTACTGTTAATCGGAGTAGTATTACAGTTTCTTGTGTCTTGCTGGTGTATTTTTCTCAGTGACAGACAGAAAAGATCCAAAGAAAAGGAAACCCAGATAATTTTGGCTACAGTGGATGTTTTATAATAAGCTGTTTTTAAACTACATCTTGTCATATTTAAGCAACGTAGTCAATCATACAATATGATCCCTAAAATTTGTGGGGTGTGGTTGTAGTTGAGGGTTGTGTGGGAGATGATGATGGTAGTTGTCAGTGGTGGTGGTGGTGGTGGTAGCTGTGTGGGGTGTGGTTGTAATTGAACATTGTGCAGAAGATGACCGTAGTTGTAAGTGGGAGTGGTGGCGGTGGTGGTGGTACCTGTGTGGGGTATGGTTGTAGTTGAGGGTTGTGTGGGAAATGGTGACAGCAGTGGTGAGTGGTAGTGGTGGTGGTGGTAGCTGTGTGGGGTGTGGTTGTTATTGAGGGTTGTGTGGGAGATGGGGGAGGTGGTGGTGGTGGTGGTGGTGGTGGTAGGAAATGGTGATGGCAGTGGTGAGTAGTGGTAGTGGTGGTGGTAGTTCTGTGGGGTGTGGTTGTAATTGAGGGTTGTGTGGGAAATGGTGATGGCAGTGGTGAGTGGTAGTAGTGGTGGTGATGGTGGTGGTAGCTGTGTGGGGTGTGGCTGTCACTGAACATTGTGCAGAAGATGATGGTAGTTGTGAGTGGGAGTGGTAGTGGTGGTGGTAGTTGTGTGGGGTGTTGTAGTTGAAGGTTGTGTGGGAGACGGTGATGGTAGTGATGAGTGGTAGTAGTAATGGGGGATCATAGTTGTATATATTTGGTTGAGGTGTGGGAAAAATATGAGCAGAGGTAATTATTCTATAGTATAAAGTCAGGTAGCATGATGCCTCCAGATTTGTTCTTTTTGCTTAGGATTGCTTTTGTTATTCAGGCTGTTTTTTAGCTTCATATGAATTTTAGCATAGTTGTTTCCAGTTTTGTGAAAAATGACGTTGGCAGTTTGATAGGAACAGCATTAACTGTAGACTGCTTTGGGCCCAGCTGGGGTTTTGATTGGGACTGTGCTGAATATGTAGATCAATTTAGGGACTTAACAAGGTTAAGTCTTCTGATCAATTGACATGGGATGTCTTTCTTGTTGGGCTTCTTTTTGCAATACCGCCTCATACACTGAACTTTATTTGAGCAATGTGCTTATCCCCTGTTCTTCTGCTTTGCTTCTGTTGTGGTTTGGGGAATGAACTAAACTACACTTGTAGAACTGTGTGTCTTTCCAAAAAAAGTGAGAAACCCTCTGAAAGCCTGTTATACAGACCCAGTAAAGTGCACAGTTTGCAACAACTGCTACAGCTATTTCAAGATTCTTTTACGGTCAGTTCTGAGTTCACAGCTACATTCTATAACTTACTTTAAGTCTGAATGTCTAATAAATGAGCCAGTAAGTTTCGGCAATTAGAATGAAAAAGTATATTGCTGAGGCCAAGTGAGTGATTAGTGTTATTAGGAGACATTTGAAGGGAATATGTCAGGTATAGAAATGAATTAACATTTAAGAGGGTCATAGTAGCTGGAGGGATCTGTCACCCATGAAGATATACTGTTGACTATGCCACAAATACCGAGCTGTTTTTGAGTAATGGCAGGTTTTTCTGGCTACAGCTGATAGACAAAACTCTCGTCTCCATCAGTGCAGTATGACTGTAAGCACTGGCAGTCTGTGGTCTTTACTGCTAAGTGTGCTGTTTTGTTTAGCTGACCACTTTTTCACACTAAGACTATCTGCTACAGCGCATTGTAAGTGAGGCAGACTCTTCTCTCGTGTGCAGACTGGCTCTGTGAGTAGCACTGCTCCAGGTGAAACAAGCTAAATGGGTGGAATCCAATGAGGCACTCCTGGACAATTTACATGATGTTCCTATGGAAAAAAATATCAAAACCTACTTTTTGGATCCCATGGCTTTCCAGCAGACCAGAAATAGGAGAACATCTGAATGCTGCATAGGTAGCTCTAAAAACATCTCCACTTTCATCAACTCCCTGCAAAGCAATCATTTAAACAAATTAAAAACCATAAAGCCAATGGATAAATCCCACAGAGACACTATTACCTCTATGGCTGCGGAGAACACACCAACACACTTAGCAGTGGACAAAAAGAACACAAGGTATTCCCAAAATGGGAGTGCTACCTGACTGAGCTCTGCAGAAGGCCATCATGCTGACTCACATCACCAAAGGAGAGGTCACACAAGGTGATTTTTATCACTTCCCTGGCTATAGTGATCTTTATAGTGAGGCTCATAATGTCAAACAACTATCTTTTCCTCAAAGACTCTGAAGACCCTGTTGAATGTGCATTTTAATAACTTATGCAATACCAGTTTTTAATTTTTATCTATTTATTTTTTTAAGACAGGGTCTGACTCTGTTGCCTAGGCTGGTGTGCAGTGGCGTAATCATAGCTCACTGCAGCCTCGACCTCCTGGGCTCAAGCGATCCTCCCACCTCAGCCTCCCAAGTAGTTTTTAATTTTTTCACAGTAGGTCCAGAAACTCTTTTTTGTACACATTTTGGTAGTATTATGGCTCAAAACTGTTACTATCACACAAAATACATGGCAGAGAGACCACAGTGTTCTAAACACCACCAATGACACACCCACTGAATTCAGGTGGTACCCTGGTGGAGACTACTGCCATAGATAGTAGGCTAGACTCACTGGCAAAGAGCGCTCAGCTCCGTTTCCTGCACCGCTGGCTGGGAACATATGACAGCACTCAGAACATGAGGGGAAAAGCCATGCATGTGCACATACAATGCTCAGAAATACAATTTTTACATATTTCTCAAAATAAAGTTATTTCAGATAAAATCAGGGCTAGGAGACAGCATTAAATGGAGCAAACATGTATTTCCACACATATTCTCTAATTTGATTCTCAAAACCACCTTGTGAAAAAGACTAGGCATATATCATCCTCATCTAAAGAGAAAACCAACTAAATGAATTGGTGGAACAAATAACCAGCAAGGCCAGGTGCAGCAGCTCACACCTGTAATCCCAGCACTTTGGGAGGCTGAGGTGGGAAGATTGCTTGAGGTCAGGAGATCGAGACCAGCCTGGGCAGTGTGGTGAGGCTCCATCTCTACAAAAAAACAAAAAGTTAGCTGGACATGGTGGTGCACACCTGTGGTCCCAGCCACATGGGAGGCTAAGGCAGGGGATTGCTTGAGCCTGGGAGGTTGAGGCTGCAGTGAGCAGTGTTCATACCACTGCACTCCAGCCTGGGCGACAGAGCAAGACTTTTTTGTCTCAGAAAACAAACAAGCAAATAACCAGTAATATCAACCTATGCTCATAGTCAGTTTTTAGAACATCCTGGATAAAGTCTAAACATTAAAACGATTATATCTGAGGCAGTCATGACTGACCTTGACATAAGGTGGCGCTAAAGATGACAGATGCCATTTCACGTCTGTGGTGCCATGATTCTCGAGTTCTAGACAGCTCTCTAAAAGGAACACATATATCATAACTCAAACTCGGAGAGACTGGAGAACAAGCAGATGACTGTGACAGGCCTAACTACCTCATACTGGGGTTAAAAAACCCCAATCATTAGATCCCTAAAGGAGTTCAACAAGAACCACAGTATTTTCTTTAAAAATCAGGTATGTCAGATATTCTCTTTTAGGTTTTATTACAAGTATAATGCAAAAATACCGAAGGGCTTATGCAGAGGAGCAATAAGATGATTTACATTTTTAAAGCGTTACAGACTGCTCTGTAAAAAAGAGACTGCAAGGCATTGAAGGGGACGAGGAAGCCCAGGTAAGTCAGGGCTGCAGCAGTTTGGCTATGAGATGATGCACAGGGTGACTGCCTCCAGCTTGGACAGTGGCAAAGGGGAGAAAAAGACATGCGCATGTGTGGCCTCTACTTTGAAGACAGGCTTCAAAGGACTTGCTGATGGACAGAGTGGCAGGAGGGAGGAAGAAGATAAATCAGAAATAACAACCAATGAACAGATAGTGGTGCCACTTACTGACATGAGGCTGAGCCTGGAGGAGGCGTAGGGCCTCTCTTGGGCATATCACATCTGATGTGCCCATGAGATGCCCACATGTGGAAGCCAAGCAGGCGCCAGGGTGTGATGCCTGGGCCCGAGCACACGGGAAGTCATGAGAGTCACAGGCTACAGGCCATCATCGCGCAGGAGAACACAGAGAGAAGGAAAGGCACAGGCAGGCTGGGCCGGGACCCTGCCAGTCTTTAGAAACCAGGGAGAGGAGTCAGCAAGGGATCCGAGCAGGAGCAGGTGAGGCAGGAAAACTTGAGCCCTGGCGCATAGCAGCTGCACGGAGAAGTCCTCCAAAGTGGAAGAGCAGTCGACAGTGCTGGGAGATCAAGTCAACCAAGACACAAAACGGACCCTGGATTTGGCACATGGAGCTCTTAAGTGACCTTCACAGGACGGGGTTCCGGGCATGAGGTGACAGCAGCCATGGCCTAAGGAAGTGAGGGCAGGGGGCTGCTGAGACAGGGGTAGCCACAAGGAAAGGGTGTGGGGGCCGAGGAAGATGCTTCTTAACCTGGTGATGGTGGAGTGTACTGGGTGCTGGTGGAGACGAATCAACAAGGAGGGAGAAGCTGATGGCTCTGGAGCGAGAGGGGACCACAGGAAGCCCCCCGAGAGGCGAGAATGGACAGGCCTGGTTCCAGGCAGAGGGTTCATCTGTGATGGAAACAGAAGCCTTTCACTGAGTCTCAGGGCCTGTCTATTTTTCACGTGTAAGGCAAAGTCAAGAGTTAGGAAGAGTGACAGCAGGAGCAGGGGAGGTGGCAGGAGCTCCCAGAGGAAAGAAGGGCCCCCAGCTGTGGGGGGTGGCAGGAGCTGCAGGACACACACAGAGGAGCAGAGGCAGCAAAGCCTCATGTGGAGGGGCACCAGGAACCCCCAGAAGGGTGGAGTAGCTCCTTCCAGTGTGGTTTCACTGCAAGGGTGGAGGCAGGAGGAGCTAGGCTCCTGGGACAAGCCAGGGTTGGGATCTTGCCAGGCAGGAACAGAGAGGGAGAGGAACACCCGGCAGTCATGGAAGCCTGTGAAACAGCAACTATAAGGACAGACTCAGGAGTCCAGAAGTGACAAGAGGAGAGGGGCATGGGCGGGCTGGGAGAGAGCACAAAACAGGCAGTGCCAGCAGGCAGGGGGTCTCAGGGAGGCCAGAGAACTGCTGTGAGCCCTCAGTGGGTGAGCTGAAGAGATGGGCGACAGTCAGCAAGTGCCAGGCTCAGAGCGGGGAGCTTCAGGGCTGAACAACAAGGTCCAGGAGGGAGACCATGGAAGCAGGAGGCTGAGGCTGGGGATAGACAAAATCAATGGAGAGGCAAGGAGCTAGAGGGCAGGTGAGAGATGCACCCATATCCTCTCTAACAGGTCCCCCGACAACACTGCTCATTTAGCCTGAGCCAGCAGTGAGGGAGACAGACAGGGACAAAAATAAATGATCGCAGGACTCTCGAGGAATGTGAGCAATACAGAGTGCCTAATAGACAACAAACACCATGCTAACTGCTGTACATATATCACCATTACTGAACACGAATGCTCCTCACGTCCCAGTAAACCCATCCTAAGTTGAAATTACCCTAAGTGGAAAATGCATTTAATCCACCTAACCTACCCTAAGCCGAGCCTGCCTTAAAAGTGCTGAGAACACCTACCTGAGCCCACAGTTGAGCAAATCCTCTAACACAAAGTTCATTTTATAACAAGGGGTTGAATATCTCATGTCATTTACTGAAGACAGTGCACTGCAGAATACAGTATCAGCTGTTCACCCTTGTGATTGCGGCTGACTAGAAGCTGTGGCTCAGGGCTGCCGCCGCCCAGAATCACAAGAGGGTGCAGCACCCTGTGTCGCTCGCTACCCAGGGCAAGGTCAAAAATCAAAATACGATTTTCACTGAATGCACGTGGCTTTCACACCATCACCAGGTCAAAAAATGGTAAGTCAAGCCACCGTAAGTCAGGGTCTGCCCATACAGGAATTACTAAATTTATCCTTGAAGCCCTCTGTGGAAGAAGTTCATTCCAAAGGCCATTTTACAAATGGGGAAACTGAGCAAGTCTATTGGACCTGTCTGGAGCCTCAATGTCACGTGAGTAAGTGATGAAGCCAGGCTCCACCCACTGTCCTGTCTTCTTCATCTGCTAACTTATTAACAATTCTGGTCAAGATCTGGTGACAGTTGCACAGGAAAGGTTCTGACCATCAAATAAAACCTAGGATTCCCGGAATACACAGAGTTAGTAAATGCCAAGATTTCACATTTTAAGATTGTTCAGATCCCAAATCCAGCCCATCATTGAAATGACTGCTAATGACCACTTTTCTCCTGAAGTAGGAGGAAATTTATATTTATCACCAACTTATGGCTAAGAATAAAGCATTAGACTCAATATATCAGCAGACATTTGAATTACATAATTTTGTGATACAATACCTGAAGTTTCACCAGGTTCTGTTGTAGGAAAAGTAATACTCTTGTTTCTTATTTCAACTTTTGTGGAAGGCGGTTTTGTCATTGGTTTGACCAAATGACTAACTGAAGGCTCAGATACTGGGGAAAGAATTCCAAATGGTTTGGAGGTCAAACGAGTTAAAAGTTCCACTTGAGTTAAATCTTCTCGAATTTGAACTTTCACAATTTTCTGAAATGAGCCAAATAAAGGGATAAGCTACAAACGTATCTATCACTTTAAACGAAACAATTCCATTTTTAAACCATGGTAGAGAAAAGAAATGCCAAACAAACAAAACATCAATAAATTTAGGAATTAAAGTTTATTTAGATCTCAAGGTAAATCTGTGACTCTATCTCCTCTCTCCCATTACCTTTGTTTTTAAAGCAAATTTCGAAAATCAGTAATCACTTCTAGGCTCCACTCTCCACACCCATTCCCCAAGAGAATTGTTCTGATCACTATGGAAAAATTCTATACCAATGCTCTAACTAGTTGGCCTCAGAATACAGATAATCATGCCTCGGTATCCATGGGGGAGATTAGTTCCAGGATCCCCTAAGGATGCTAAAATCCTCAATGCTCAAGTCCTGTATATAAAGTGACACAGTATTTGCACATATCTACATACATCCTCCCATACACTTTAGATCATCTCTAAGGTACTTATAATAGCTAATGCAGTGTAAATGCTATGCAAACATTTGTTATACTGTATTTATTTGTATTACTTTTTCCCCAAATAATTTCAATCTGTGGTTGGTTGAATCCCTGGAAGTGGAACCCACAAATATGAAGGGTCAAGTACGCTTTCATTTGATTTCTGAAATTAAGTGCTAATAAGGATTATAAAACTGAAGCTACAAACAGAATTGTCACTCAAAAAAAAAACCAAACCACTTTTAAAAGTACCTTCTGTCCATCGTCACAGTGTATATAGATCAAACCACTCCACGGGAACATTGACTGTTTTGTGGATAAGGAGGAATTAGGACTCACAAGAATTTGTAGTTTACTCCTTTAAAAAAAATTAATAAGAAAATTAAAAAGAGCCTGCATTTTAACAGCAGTAATCACAGGAGTTATAAATACTGTCTACCAGCCAATGGCCATTTCCTCACTGCTCAGGAAGAGCAGAGAACAGAGCTCACTCCCATGCGGCTCCCACATGGCTCCCACAAGTTCATCCCGCCTCCACCCGACTCAACGGGTTACAAGGAACTCACCAGCATGAACCCATGACGCAAGGGCAAAACTCATGCGAAAACAAACCATGCCGCCCTCTCCCTCTCCCTCTCCCCCTCCCCCTCCCCCTCCCTCTCCCCATGGTCTCCCTCTGATGCCGAGCCGAAGCTGGACTGTACTGCTGCCATCTCGGCTCACTGCAACCTCCCTGCCTGATTCTCCTGCCTCAGCCTGCCGAGTGCCTGCGATTGCAGGCGCGCGCTGCCACGCCTGACTGGTTTTCGTATTTTTTTGGTGGAGACGGGGTTTCGCTGTGTTGGCCAGGCTGGTCTCCAGCTCCTAAACACAAGTGATCTGCCAGCCTCAGCCTCCCGAGGTGCCGGGATTGTAGACGGAGTCTCGTTCACTCAGTGCTCAATGGTGCCCAGGCTGGAGTGCAGTGGCGTGATTTCGGCTCGCTACAACCTCCACCTCCCAGCCGCCTGCCTTGGCCTCTCAAAGTGCCGAGACTGCAGCCTCTGCCCGGCCGCCACCCCGTCTGGGAAGTGAGGAGCGTCTCTGCCTGGCCGCCCATCATCTGGGATGTGAGGGGCCCCTCTGCCTGGCTGCCCAGTCTGGAAAGTGAGGAGCGTCTCTGCCTGGCCGCCATTCCATCTAGGAAGGGAGGAGCGCCTCTTCCCGGCCGCCATCCCATCTAGGAAGTGAGGAGCATCTCTGCCCGGCCGCCCATCGTCTGAGATGTGGGGAGCGCCTCTGCCCCGCCGCCCAGTCTGGGATGTGAGGAGCGCCTCTGCCCGGCCGCGACCCCATCTGGGAGGTGAGGAGCGTCTCTGCCCAGCCGCCCCGTCTGAGAAGTGAGGAGACCCTCCGCCCGGCAGCCGCCCCGTCTGAGAAGTGAGGAGCCCCTCCGCCCGGCAGCCGCCCCGTCTGGGAAGTGAGGAGTGTCTCCGCCTGGCAGCCACCCTGTCCGGGAGGGAGGTGGGGGTCAGCCCCCGCCAGGCCAGCCGCCCCATCCAGGAGGGAGGTGGGGGGTCAGCCCCCGCCTGGCCAGCCGTCCCGTCCGGGAGGTGAGGGGTGCCTCTGCCCGGCCGCCCCTACTGGGAAGTGAGGAGCCCGTCTGCCTGGCCACCACCCCGTCTGGGAGGTGTACCCAACAGCTCATCGAGAACGGGCTATGATGACAATGGCGGTTTTGTGGAATAGAAAAGGGGGAAAGGTGGGGAAAAGATTGAGAAATCGGATGGTTGCTGTGTCTGTGTAGAAAGAAGTAGACATGGGAGACTTTTCATTTTGTTCTGTACTAAGAAAAATTCTTCTGCCTTGGGATCCTGTTGATCTATGACCTTACCCCCAACCCTGTGTTCTCTGAAACATGTGCTGTGTCCACTCAGGGTTGAATGGATTAAGGGTGGTGCAAGATGTGCTTTGCTAAACAGATGCTTGAAGGCAGCATGTTCGTTAAGAGTCATCGCCACTCCCTAATCTCAAGTACCCAGGGACACAAACACTGCGGAAGGCCTCAGGGTCCTCTGCCTAGGAAAACCAGAGACCTTTGTTCACTTGTTTATCTGCTGACCTTCCCTCCACTATTGTCCTATGACCCTGCCAAATCCCCCTCTGCGAGAAACACCCAAGAATGATCAATAAAAAAAAAAAAAATAATAGTTAAAAAAAAAAAAAAGAAAAGAAAACAAACCATGCCTTAGGAATACCATTTTAAAAGCAACTCACGGTAAAAACTTCTAGAGCAAAAGACCAAGACTACAAAAGCTCTGAGCCACGTGAGAATAAAGAAGAATGCAAGTACAGCACGGGGAGAATGAAGCAGTTGCAGAGGAAACTGGAAAAAAAAGGGTCGGGGAGATGGAGAAGAAATGAAGAAAAAAACGTGTTTCCGTATGACCCGGCTGCTTATATTTTCTGGGCTCAATATTCTCTTCAAGAACCAGGGGATGCCAGAGAAGAGTTTATAAGTGGACAATGGGATCAGATTTGATTTTAAAGAAATCACCAGACTGAAAAGCTGTTTCAGTACACATGTCAAAAATGAAAGGGCAAGATTGTCTTCCCCTGCTAAACCCATGGGGCTACAGAAAAAGCGGGCTGTGAGGAACCTGTTCTACCATTAGCTGAAAGGGTGTGTGGCACATGAGAAACACTTGCTGCATGCCAAACTGACTGCTCTGGTCCCAGCAACGCTCTCTGGAGTGTCCCTGACCATGCCTCAGCTAAAAGTCTCAGTCAAGTAAACTCTCCTAAAATTTTAGCATATCATTTTGCAAAAACTAAATAAACTTCATGTTGTCTTTCTGCAAAGTTGCTAATCCCAGATATAAAGGAACGTGCAGATGTGGGAGTCATGTGCTGGCCAGATGAAGTCCTGAAAAGCTGCAGAACTGTGGCTTTCCCACCTATCAACAACCAGGCTGTGGACAGAGGGCAGGCAGCTGTGTATAAATGGCCGGCCCCAAAAGACTTCCTTCTGTCCTAGAATATTCTACATAGAAAACAGTAAGCAAGGTTATGGCTCATACATACTAAAATTGAGGAAGCTTTGTCTGAAAAACATCATTCAGAAAAAGCCAGCAGAACACACAACCCAAACCAAGGTAAGAAATGGCAGAAGTGTTTGGGCTCGGGACACATCGCGACCCCTCATCCCATGTCCAGTTGCATTCCTTGCTTTGTGATTTCATGGGCAGTCCTAAGAAGGAAACGCTCTGAAGTCTTCCATACCAGGGACTCTGTTCCACCTCAAATGTGTGTGTCCCTTTACCCTCCTGGGTGACAGCATAACCAGCTGTGTGCAGATCTCTGCTCCACTAGACCGCCTACCACTTGAACTCACAGCTGACCTGCAGAACCATGCACATGCTTTGTGCAGAGTCAGCACGGTGCAAAATTCAACTGGATAAACTACAATGACATATTATTTGATCTTTAGAAAGTCACCAAGCCAGCACCTAAGTAACACGCAGAGCAACACAGAAGTCAGACTTACTCTGGCGCGACACATCCATGCTGCGGCGTGACTGTGAGGCAATGCGCTGGCCAGCACAGCTCAAATCTCAGTAACCTCACAGAGTTATTCACAATCTGGAAACGTCCAGTTTTTGCCATGTCACCTATTTTGTCAGATACATAAAATGTGACTTACATTTAACAACAGTGAAAAAGACAAATATTAACAACTAATAAACCAGAACCCTAAATAGATATACAAGTATGCTACTGCTTTCTCAACTGCTCAATTACAGAAATTTCCAATCCTTGGTAGTAAACAAAGAGGAAAAAGGAATCCTGGAAATCGTCACTGCTTGGTCTTAACTTAAGCACACACCCACGTAGCAGATTCACTCTACTCTGAACCAATGCTGTATCTCTGTGGGCAGAGGTGTGGCTCTGCCATTGGAGAACTGGGAGCCTCATTGAGGAGTGTGGCCCTGGGACAAGGACTCTGCTCTAGGCAAGTCTGAGTGGGGTCTCCAACAGTGGAAGCAGGGCCTGGGCAAGTCACAGCTCAATGTGCAGGAGCCCATGTGTGTCTTGGATAGGCCATGGGCACAATGGGAGTGCAGGCCCGGACGCCGGAACACACCTCTGAGGTGTCACAGTTGACATACTCACAAGGAGAAGGAGCTACCAGAATCAAGTGCTCGGGTAGGACAGTCCACGGCTCTTCGGAGGCCAGCTGATCCAGAGGCGGGCGAGCCGCCCGTGAGAGAAGAGGAGAACCCTGAGGACCTTTGACTGGTAAAACATCCAAAGAGACGTTGCCACCATGTTTCCCAGAAGCTCCCAAGTCGCTAAAAAATTATTTAAAAATGAAAAAGTTAGACATGAAGAAAGAGACTGAGAAGTTAAAAATGATAAAAGGCCAGATTGTATCACATATTTTTATATTCTTCATAAATCTAAAAACATTAAGACAAAGTTAAAAGTGAGTTATCAGGTATTTTTTAGTGAATAAAAGTTATTCATATTGTGTATAGTTTACAATGTGTACAGGCTGGGTGTGGTGGATCATGCCTATAATCCCAGCACTTTGGGAGGCCGAGGCGGGAGGATTGCTTAAGGCTAGGAGTTTGAGAACAGCCTGGGCAACATAGCAAGACACCACCTCTACAAAAAGAAAAAAGAAAAATTAGCTGGGAGTGGTGGCAGGTGTCTGTAGTCCCAGCTACCAGGAAGGCCGAGGCAGGAGAATTACTTGAGGCCAGGAGTCCAACCTGGGCTACACAATGAAACCCTGTCTTTTAAAAAAATACGTAAAGTATAGGGGTGACAGGGGTGGGTGGTGGCACTGGGACTTGCAGGGAACACTCAGCCAGTCTGCGTCAGCAGCACTGGGCTCAGGGAGACAGCCGTGCAATGGGAAGATTAGTTAAAAAATAGGGGGATTAAGTAAAAATGTAAATATATTGAAGATAATGGGGCTAGGGATCGAGTACTGGAGAAAAGGGTATAAATGTGGAAAGGCACTGTGGTGTTAGATTAGAATTGGAGGCTTCACAGTAAGCTCATTTAACATATTTATAAACAGAAGTAAATACAGAAGTGTGTGGATTTGTACATTAGTCCACGTTTCCTGGGTTTGTCCACAGGGAGGGCCTAGAAGCAAGGATACCTCAACAGCATGAGCACACCTAGTGCCTGCACCCTGGTTTCTAACACCATTCTCTACTCTCAGCTTCGGAGAGAAATGGTTATTCCAGGGTGGGGCAGGGAAAGTATACGATGAGCCTAAACATCCTGCTGTGCCAATGGGTAAGAAAGTGCGCAAAGAAGGACGGGGGACCTATCAAAAGGATCAGAAGCCAGAATGCAATGCAGGACCAAATAACGACAGTGAAGGATCAACACTGCACCCAGAGTCCACTCCAATATCAGTGAATAATTACATGAAAGGGCCAAAAGCAAACCTCTTCCTCATAGTAAAGAGCCAATTAATAAATGCAGAAAGATGGAATTAGAAATCACCCTTTGGTAACCATGATGAAAATAATTCAGGCAACAAGCATCAATGGATGCTCACAGTTTGATGAGGAACAAGATAATCATGATCTTTAAAGAACTCCCTCTTAAGATATTCATTAGTTTTACAGTGGAGAAATCTGGCAGGCACCATTTTTAACTAAGTGATGAAAATAGTATTAGTGATAGGACAAATCAGCACTGTACACTGCCTGAGAAGATGCACCAAGAAAACAAACAGCATCATTCCTACCAAAAGTGTGAAAATTGAATCTGCAAACTGAAATTGCGGGATATTTTACAAAGTAACTGGCCTGGACTCCATAAAAACATCAAGGTCATTGGTAAGAAAGAGTTAGCAATTGGCCTGCAATCTATTTTCTCCTTTTTACCAGGGAATGCTCAAGAAAAAAGAAAGGTGATTTGGTGAAATCTCCCGGTGATCTTGCTAATGACAGATCTCCTAGCACACACACTAATGTCCTTATCTATGGAATGCTTTTTGCAAGATGTATCTGCTCTGTCTAGAATTATTTGCGGTAAAGAAACCTGAAGCTTCCGATTTTATGGGATGCAGTTATTTGAAAAATTACCACATAAGTTATGTAATTACCAAAGTACAAAACAGAACTTTCATGCTCAATATAGCTCTTCATTTCGGGTAAGCCATGTAGCACATGAACAATTTAGAGACCTTGTGTCAAATCTGAACAAGAGCTCAAGTATTAATGCTGCCAAAAGGACCTAGGAAGCACCACTGCCAGTCCCAGACTTCTCCAGGCTTCACCTAAAATTACTAGTAAGCTTAATTCTGGATGAAGTCTTTGATTCTGTGGATCTGATACAATAATTGAACCTTCTGTATCATCTCAGTCAGGAAAGATAAGGAAAGGCTAAGGAACTCTATTCTGAAAGAGAGTAAGCAGATAGGATAACCAAATGCATCATGTGATGTTAGATTACACTCCGGACCAGAGAGGAAGCAGCAAAGAGGAAGGTTATTTTTGTTGTTGTTTTGTCATTTAACTATAACATAAAGGACATTATTGGAACAAACAATAACATGTGGATGGAACCTGTGGACTAAATGATTGTAGTGTATTGCTATTAAATGTCCTAATTTGGATGAGTTTTCCATGGCTATGCAGGAGAGTGTTTTTTTGTTTTGTTTTGTTTTTGAGACAGAGTCTTGCTATTGCCCAGGCTGGAATGCAATGTCCCCATCTTGGCTCACTGCAAGCTCTGCCTCCTGGGTTCACACCATTCTCCTACCTCAGCCTCCCCAGTAGCTGGGACTACAGGTGCCCACCACCACGCCTGGCTAACTTTTTTTTTTGTATTTTTAGTAGAGACGGGGTTTCACTGTGTTAGCCAGGATGATCTCGATCTCCTGACCTCGTGATCCGCCTGCCTTGGCCTCCCAAAGTGCTGGGATTACATGCAAGAGCCACCATACCTGGCCGTAGGAGAGTGTTTTTAGGAAATTTAGGGCTAATTGGTTATCATGCCTGAAACTTACTCTTACGTGGTCCAGAAAAACCTTCCATACAAATAGAGGATGATAAGGTAAAGGTGGTAAACTGTTAACAACGGTGAGTCTGAGTGCAGAGTATATGGGAGTTCTCTGCACTATTTCTAAACTTTCCTGAAAGTTTGAAATTATTTCAACTTAAATTTTAAAATAAAGGTGAAATAAAAATTTTGAGACAAAATAATAATAATAGTGAAGTACAGGAAAAAAGATCAGCTTTGCTATGAATCGAATCATCCTGAAATCTGGTGAAAGATTTCTGTTCATTTATTTTACCTTGTAGATTCCAAGCTAGCTTTGGAAGAAGGCTGAAGGAATTCTCTGCTAGAAATGCAATCTCTGAATTCTCCAATTACTGAAAGTATAATTTTACACATGCTTCCATAAAAGAGCTGAACATCATTAGGTCGTTGGGGAAGATCATATACTGAAATAGAAAATAATGTTTGAAATACATGAATGTTCACACAAGCATACCACAAAGTAACAGATACATTTGTATATTTATAGCTATAGAATATTAGTTTCCTGGGTTGGGGGAGGTGACATTTGGATTAGCAGTATACCACCTGGCACAAAATTACAGTCAATTCAGCACCAGTGGCTGACAGCTCAGACTTGGAACCTGAATTTGAACTACCTTTGCCACTCATTTACTTTGTGACTTTTGGCAAGTTACTTAACCTCCCTGAACTTAGTTTCCCCAACTATAATATAGAGTAACGATCTGTATCAGGGGTTGTGAGCATTAAAATAAGAATGCCTTTGTAGATATATTCGGCAACAAACATTTATATGAAGCTTAATGTGGACATTGTTCTAATCCCTTTATATATATTAATTTAGTTAATTTTCAAAACAATTCTTTGAGATAGGTACTATTACCTCTACTGCAAAGAGGAAAAATCTGAAGCACAGAAATTAAGGGTCCATGATTTTTAAGTGGCAGTCTCATAGACATTCAATTTAAAGTAAATCTAGAAACTAGAACTATTCATTTAATTAAATATTTATAGATTAATGAAAGAGTGTTCAAGATAAACATCTCTAGATTAGGACACCCAAATTTGTATAAACAAGAAATGTTAAATTAGATAGTCTTTGAGTCATATATTTTGACATGGAAATTTTAAAAGAACACAGTAACTATAAATTTAAATTTATAACTTAAGCAAGACTCCTGACTGAAAAAGTTTAAATCAACTACAAAAATACATGCCACAAATTACACATTTTGTAAAAGCAAGATTGTTACAAATCCTTGGAATAGTAACATGCTCAAGCAAATGTTACTGAAATTCATCACATAAAAGCTTCAACTGCATTATACTCCAGGTGATCTATGGTACCAACCAACATGAAAAAGTGAAACTGTTTCCTCCATTCCTCTGGGCAATAAACTTATAATCACAAGGAATATAGTATTCCTTGAGGTGAAATTCTGGTGTCCCAAAGACCTGGCCTGAGTCCTAGCTCAACCCCACCTTAGATGGGCAATCTTGACAGGCTACTTGAGCTCTTGGTTGGCTGTGTCAACACAACTCTTAATACAATATGTGTACTTAATTTTTGGACATGCAGCTGTACCTGGAGCATTCTTCCTCATTCTGGTCTCATCTTCACCTTGCCAACTCCTCCTCTTTCTTCAAGTATACCTCAAGAATCATCTCATTCTAAGTGAGGTGCCCTCCCAGATTTGTAAACACAGCTCTGTCTGTAACAGCACTTTTCACATCACACCTAAGTCATCTGTCTTCCCCTGAGTCTGTAAGCCCCTCATGGACAAGGACTGCATCCAGTACCTCTGCATCCAGTGTCCATAGACCTACTGGCATCTTGTCCTCTCAGGATGCATCCACCATCCAACGAGAGGACTGTTGCTATATGGTGGGGCAATGCCAGCTTCTGAACCACTGCAAACTCTGGTTCCCTACAATCTTCACCACAGTTGCACCATGTTACTAAGTGTTAGTGTTCCATCTCCATAGCACAGTTCAGCTTATCTCGTATTTGGATCCTTCCTATGAGGAAGAGGTGGGGCTGTAGTGGGACAGATGGGTCTTCAGTTTCAACTCCAAGTCCAAGGTTTTTTTCCTTTGCTCTGGTCCCTTAGCACACTCCTGACAAGTCCATTTGAAGTCTTTTTGTCATTTTTAACCAACTCATCCTTGCCTTCCCTTTGAGCAGATGATCTAGACCCCCACTTAATGAAAAGTTCACAGACTATTCAACATCACCCCTACACCAAGGCATAAATATCCTTTCATCACTTCATATTTCAGAAGCAAAATACATTCCATCACTAAAAAACTAGAAAATAAAAACAGGGAAAAGCTACCACGTGAAATTTACCACCAAAACTAGCCACTTATTATTTTGGTGTGTATATGCCTGTAATTTTACTTATGTAAATATATATGTAATAATTTTTAGCAAAATGAGATCTTACTATACAAACTTCAAAAAGGTTTTGTGATAAATGAAGAGCTTTCCATGTCATTCAGTACAGATTCATATTATTGTTCTAATGGCTTCAAATATTCTACCACATAATTAAATAACTCCCTATTCTTGGGCATTAAGGTTACTTCTAGCTTCTTGCTATTATAAACAACACTATGGTGAAAATCTGTATATACATTTTAACACAGTCTGTATGTCTCAATATATTTATATTTTGTATGAATAATAAATATTGTTAAATATTTGAAATGTTTAGTGTAAACAGGGCTAACCATCTAGGTTAGTGTCACCTTATTACTATCTATTTTGAAGTTTTTTTGCCACCACTACATCTTCCATAAATCTTACAATAGGCACGATAGCACAGTAACCTCAAAATGAGTGCAAGTTTGCAATCAAATCTAAGTAGCAATTAATTTGATTTAATAATGACCATTTTCCTCTTCCTGTTTACAAGGGTGCCTAGAGAATAAGTGCAGAAAGTAACATGTAACATTTATACAGCAGCAAAGCTCTTTCATCGAATACTTATAACAACTCTGTATGGATGAAAAGCTAGATGAGCTAGATGTCGCTCTTCTTTCCATTTACAAGATAAGGAAACTGACATTCAATGATGTAATTTGTTCAAACTCATACAGCAGGGCTGTGGCTCAAACTCTGCCTGACACTGCATCTAAACTAACACTTCCTTCTTATATCACATCATTGGACATAGATAATACTATAAATGACCCAAAAGATTTAATACATCAAGACACGCCGGAATTCTTACCTTCAGTTACTAATAGCTCATCTTGAAATGCTTCAACAAAATTAATGTTTTGAAGCACACTATGTTCTGGAAGTATCTGTTTTATCATCTCTGGTTTATGTAACAGGGCCCTGCCAGGAGAGATTTTTTTTTATTATTTAAAAGTGACGTTATATATAAAATAACTTTAATTAGATTTTCACTAATGCATTTGGCAAATCCCACTAATACTGATATATTAGTACACAGACCTTACACCTAAAAGAAAAACCTGTTTTGGAAGTTCTTTGAAAAATTACACATGGTAGTAAAATTATCAGTTTCAGTTAAATATTAACATCAAACAAGAATTCCCTAAAAGAAGAGTAAAATTAGATTCTTTTCAGGTCCTACATTTTCATTATTTGTGATAATTTGGTTACAGCTAGAAATTTGTCTCAGAACACAAAAGAACATGCTAAAAATGGAAACATTTGAAGGGGAATACCTAAATTACCATATAACTATGTTTATCTGGCTCCTTCCAGAGAATCTGAGGTGAGAAAACTGAAATGTAGATTTCTCTATAATACTCAGATGTCCACAAAAAAAATCTCACTACTGTTAATTTTATGGCAAAGAGTTTGAAAACAATACGCTGATTTCTATATCCCAATTGAGAGAAAAAAAAACATCAGAATACCTCATAATGTGATTTCTCCAAATGTCAGTTTCTATTTCCAAAATAATTAAGAAACAAAACCAGGTTCAAAGGCAAGCTTTGTATTTGGTCTGTTCTAACATCATGTAGCAAGTCGCCATTAAATTCCCTCTTGTAAAACATTCCAATGACCCTCAACAAATTAAAAACAAAACAATTTCCCAAATTCTGTATTAGAATAAAAAACAGTCAAGCACAAAGGGTCAGAAGGAAACAGGCGTATTCCTCCACACCCCCTTTCTAATTATTTTTTATTAGCAGATGACACACCATGAGCTGCACTCATCCTATGTTTAGGTCCTTTAATCTAGGAAGCTACACTTTACAATAAGAGAATTCATATCTTTAAATCACGCCTAAACTTAAATCAACATCCTAAATTTTCCAACAGTTCAGCATATCAAACTATGTTTAAATTATTTATGTATGTATGTATTTATTTATTTATGAGAGAGGTCTGGCTCTGTCACCAAGGCTGGAGTGCAATCATAGCTCACTGCAGCCTTGAACTCCTGGGATTGTGATCTTCCCACCTCAGCCTCCAAAGTAGTGAGGACTACAGGTGCACACCATCACACCCAACTAAATTTTCTATTTCTTTTCTAGAGACAAGGTCTCATTATGTTGCCCAGGCTGGTCTTGAACTCCTGGCCTCAAGCAATCCTCCCACCTCAGCCTCCCAAAGTGCTGGGCATGAGCCACACAGCCCGCCCTATATTTAAATTAGATATATCAGATTTTATAGTAGTTCATACTTTTTAAGTATCTACAAGTTAAACATCTTACACATTTCGAAAATTCAACTTGATCCTTTCAAATAATTCACAGCATTCCCAGAAATATTACTAACTAGTCATCTGTGTTTATACAATATAATCATTCAGTAGTTCTTAAATCTTTTATAAAACTGACACTGTCACTTAACATGTCATCAAGAGTACATTACGGAAATGGTCCTATTATGAAGTATGATGCACCTACTGAGTAAGGGAAGAGTGGCACAATACATTCACCTAGAAAAGAAGGCACATTCTAAGGAAATACAGGAGATGAATTTCCTACGGGTATTTCTTCCTCACATTGTGGTAGCTCATCATCCACATAAATTCTACCAAGATTTTTCATCTACCAGTTCACTAATAAATAGTGAAATACTCTAAAAATTCCAAATCCCAAGCCACAGAAGCCTTCATTATTTCTGCTGAATGGTTCCCAACATTGTGTAAGATAAGTAATCTACCTGCGATACTGCTGTCTTGAAATTTCATCTCCACCAAATAAGTATACAGTTGATAGTTCTGTTGCAGTTTTATTATTGATTCCTCTGTCTGATGGATTATATATTAAAGTAACATTCTGATGCCAAGAAAAAAAAATCAGGAGTAAATATTAAATATTTTTAAGTAATTTCAATCTGATTCAACAATCTTACGAGCCTAAAAATTCGACACAGACACAAGTGCATACGCATGGCATTTCCAAGATCACATAAGTACTTCTATTCCTACATTATTTTCAAGTATTATTTTAGCTTTTGGCTTTAAAATACATAATTATTAACAATTTTAAAATGAGTTGATGTTTTTAGCACAGAAACTTTTGTACTTACTTCTTGTGTTCTTTCCTTGAGTACAAATTTATCTGGAAAAATCCTCAATACTTTAGGATCCAGCAAAACTTTTTTCTGAGAATCCTTAAAACCTACTGCTTTAACAAAAGCTGCTCGGGAGCCAGTGTTGCGGACAGAAAAAACAATTTTACTTTCTTTGCCAGGTACTAAGCCATTCACTGTTACCATGTAACTGTCAGATAATTTTTTAACGCCTTCCAAAATAAGATTGCTTGTTCCTCCATATCCAGACAAAGGTATCTAAAAAAGATATACATATCCAAAATTATTTTAATGTTAAGCAGAAAGCGAAACACTGAATTACAGTGAGAAGAAAATTCAGAAAGATTTAATACAATTAAAAATTTAAATGTTTGTGTACTTTGGGTAGTAGTTCCCCATTTCCAGTCCAGCAGTATATTCAAGACTTTGTCTTAAGGAAAAAACAAACCAAAGAGCTGCAAAAGTATCTGGCTTCTGATAGGCTAAGAATTAACTATTTCAAAAGCCAAGCTTTGATGACACAGGAATAATATAAAGATTAGTACAGATATGCTTGATTAAGAAGTTTATAGAGTAAAATATTCACATATTTTTAATTTACTTTGAAATGCACTAAAAAGATGAACTGGTGGCTGGCAAGGTGGCCAAATAGGAACAGATCCTGTCTGCAGCTCCTAGCGAGATCAATACTGAAGGCGGGTGATTTCTGCATTTCCAACTGAGGTACCCAGCTCATCTCACTGGGACTGGTTAGAGAGTGGATGCAGCCCATGGAGGGTGAGCCGAAGCAGGGTGGGGCGTCGCCTTACCTGGGAAGTGCAAGGGGTTGGATGCCCTCTCTCACCACTCCTATTCAACACAGTATTGGAAGTTTTGGCCAAGGCAATCAGGCAAGACAAAGAAATAAAGCGTCTTCAAATAGGAAGAGAGGAAGTCAAATTGTCTCTCTTTGCAGGTGACATGATTGTATATTTAGAAAACCCCATCGTCTCAGTCCAAAATCTCCTTAATCTGATAAGCAACTGCAGCTGTCTCAGGACACAAAGTCAATGTGTGAAAATCACAAGCATTCCTATACACCAATAATAGACAAACAGGGCCAAATCATGAGTAAACTCCCATTCACAATTGCTACAAAGAGAATAAAGAACCTAGGAATACAACTTACAAGGGAAGTCAATGACCTCTTCAAGGAGAACTACAAACCACTGCTCAAAGAAGTAAGAGAAGACACAAAGAAATGGAAAAACATTCCATGGACTCAATATCGAGAAAATGGCCATACTGCCCAAAGTAATTTATAGATTCAATGCTGTTCCCATCAAGCTACCATTGACTTTCTTCACAGAATTAGAAAAAAAAAACTACTTTAAAGTTCATATGGAACCAAAAAAGAGCCCGTATAGCCAAGACAATCCTAGGCAAAATGAACAAAGCTGGAGGCATCACGCCACCTGACTTCAAACTATACTACAAGGTTACAGTAACCAAAACAGCATGGTCCTGATACCAAAACAGAAAGACAGACAAATGGAACAGAATAGAGGCCTCAAAAATAACACCACACATCTACAACCATCTGATCTTTGACAAACTTGACAAAACAAGAAATGGGGAAAGGATTCCCTATTTAATAAATGGTGTTAGGAAAACTGGCTAGCCATATGCAGAAAACTGAAACTGGAGCCCTTCCTTACAACTTATACAAAAATTAACTCAAGATGGATTAAAGACTTAAACGTAAGACATAAAACCATTAAAACTCTGGAAGAAAACCTAGGCAATACCATTCAGGACACAGACATGGGCAAAGACTTCATGACTAAACACCAAAAGCGATGGCAACAAAAGCCAAAATTCACAAATGGGATCTAATTAAACTAAAGAGCTTCTGCACAGCAAAAGAAACTATCAGAGTGAATAGGTAACCTATAGAATGGGAGAACATTTTTGCTATCTATCCATCTGACAGAGGGCTGAGGGCTGATATCCAGAATCTACAAAGAACTTGAACAAATTTACAAGAAAAAAAAATCCCATCAAAAAGTGGGCAAAGGATATGAACAGATACTTCTCAAAAGAAGACATTTATGCAGCCAACAAACGTGAAAAAAAGCTCATCATTACTGGTTATTAGAGAAATGCAAATCGACCAGGCACGGTGGCTCACACCTGTAATCCCAGCACTTTGGGAGGCAAAGGTGGGCAGATCACGAGATCAGGAGATCAAGACCATCCTGGCTAACATGGTGAAACCCCTTTTCTACTTAAAAAAAAAAAAAACCCAAAAAATTAGCTGGGTGTGGTGGCATGCGCTTGTAGTCTCAGCTACTTGGGAGGCTCAGAGGCAGGAGAATCGCTTGAACCCGGGAGGCGGAGGTTGCAGTGAGCCGAGATTGTACCACTGCACTCCAGCCTGGGCAACAGAGGAAGACTCTGTCTCAAAAAAAAAAAGGAAATCAAAACCACAATGAGATACCATCTCATGCGTGAGAATGGCGATCATTAGAGACTCCGTTTCAAGATGGCTGAATAAGAACAGCTCCGGTCTGCAGCTCCCAGCGTGATTGACACAGAAGATGGTGATTTCTGGATTTGCAACTGAGGTACCTGGTTCATCTCACTGGGACTGGTTGGACAGTGGGTGCAGCCCACGGAGGGTGAGCTGAAGCAGGGCGGGGCATTGCCTCACCCGGGAAGCACAAGGGGTCGGGGGATTTCCCTTTCCTAGCCAAGGGAAGCTGTGACAGACTGTACCTGGAAAATCGGGACAATCCCGCCCAAATACTGTGCTTTTCCAACACTCTTAGCAAACGGCACACCAGGAGATTTTATCCCGCGCTTGGCTTGGCAGGTCCCACGCCCACAGAGCCTTGCTCACTGCTAACACAGCAGTCTGAGATCCACCTGTAAGGCAGTAGCCTGACGGGGGGAGGGGCATCCACCATTGCTGAGGCTTGAGTAGGTAAACAAAGCAGCCAGGGAAGCTCGAACTGGGTGGAGCCCACCGTAGCTCTGCAATGCCTACAACCTCTATAGAGCCCACCTCTAGGGGCAGGGCATAGCTGAAAAAAAGGCAGCAGAAACTTCTCCAGACTTAAACGTCCCTGTCTGACAGCTCTGAAGAGAGCAGTGGTTCTCCCAGCATGACGTTTGAGCTCTGAGAACAGACAGACTGCCTCCTCAAGTGGGTCCCTGACCCCCGTGTAGCCTAGCTGGGAGACACCTCCCAGCAGGGGCCGAATGACACCTCATACAGGCTGGTGCCCCTCTGGGACGAAGCTGCCAGAGGAAGGATCAGGCAGCAATATTTGCCGTTCTGCAGCCTCCACTGATGATACCCAGGCAAACAGGATCTGGAGTGTACCTCCAGCAAACTCCAACAGACCTGTAGCTGAGGGACCTGACTCTTAGAAGGAAAACTAACAAACAGAAAGGAACACCATCAACATCAACAAAAAGGACATCCACACCAAAACCCCATCTGTAGGTCACCAGCATCAAAGACCAAAGGTAGATAAAACCACAAAGATGGGGAGAAACCAGAGCAGAAAAGCTGAAAATTCTAAAAACCAGAGCACCTCTTCTCCTCCAAAAGATCGCAGCTCCTCACCAGCAACAGAACAAAGCTGCATGGACAATGACTTTGATGAGCTGACAGCAGTAGGCTTCAGAAGGTCGGTAATAACAAACTTCTCCGAGCTAAAGGAGAATGTTCGAACCCATCGCAAGGAAGCTAAAAACTTTGAAAAAAGATTAGACGAATGGCTAACTAGAATAAACATCACAGAGAAGACCACAAATGACCTGATGGAGCTGAAAAACATGGCACAAGAACTACGTGATGCATGCACAAGCTTCAATAGCCAACTCGATCAAGTGGGCGAAAGGATATCAGTGATTGAAGATCAAATGAATGAAATAAAGTGAGAAGAGAAGTTTAGGACAAAAAGTAAAAAGAAACAAAGCCTCCAAGAAATATGGGACTATGTGAAAACATCAAATCTACATCTGATTGGTGTACCTGAAAGTGACAGGAAGAATGGAACCAAGTTGGAAAACACACTGCAGGATATTATCCAGGAGAACTTCCCCACCTAGCAAGGCAGGCCAACATTCAAATTCAGGAAATACAGAGAACACCACAAAGATACTCCTCGAGAAGAGCAACCCCAAGGCACATAATTGTCAGATTCACCAAGGTTGGAATGAAGGAAAAAATGTTAAGGGCAGCCAGAGACAAAGGTCGGGTTACCCACAAAGGGAAGCACATCAGACTAACAGCTGATCTCTCAGCAGAAACTCTACAAGCCAGAACAGAGTGGGGGCCAATATTCAACATATTAAAGGAAAGAATTTTCAACCCAGAATTTCATATCCAGCCAAACGAAGCTTCATAAGTGAAGGAGAAATAAAATCCTTTACAGACAAGCAAACGCTGAGAGATTTTGTCACCACCAGGCCTGCCTTACAAGAGCTCCTGAAGGAAGCACTAAACATGGAAAGGAACAACTGGTACTAGCCACTGCAAAAACATGCCAAATTGTAAAGACCATCGAGGCTAGGAAGAAACTACATCAACTACCAGGCAAAATAACCAGCTAACATCATAATGACAGGATCAAATTCACACATAACAATATTAACCTTAAATGTAAATGGACTAAATGCCCCAATTAAAAGACACAGACTGGCAAATTGGATAAAGAGTCAAGAACCATCAGTGTGCTCTATTCAGGAGACCCATCTCACGTGCAGAGACACACATAGGCTCAAAATAAAGGGATGAAGGAAGATCTACCAAGCAAAAGGAAAGCAAAAAAAAAAAAAAAAAAAAAAAAAGCAGGGGTTGCAATCCTAGTCTCTGATAAAACAGACTTTAAACGAACAAAGATCAAAAGAGACCAAGAAAGCCATCATATAATCATAAGAGATCAATTCAACGAGAAGAGCTAACTATCCTAAATATATATGCACCTAATACAGGAGCACCCAGATTCGTAAAGCAAGTCCTCAGAGACCTACAAAGAGACTTAGACTCCCAGACAATAATAATTGGAGACTTTAACACCCCACTGTCAATATTAGACACATCAACAAGGCAGAAGGTTAACAAGGATATCCAGGACTTGAACTCAGCTCTGCACCAAGAGGACCTAATAGACATCTACAGAACTCTCCACCCCAAATCAACAGAATATACATTCTTCTCAGCACCACATCACACTTATTCCAAAACTGACCACATAGTTGGAAGTAAAACACTCCTCAGCAAATGTAAAAGAACAGAAATCACAACAAACTGTCTCTCACACCACAGTGCAATCAAGTTAGAACTCGGGATTAAGAAACTCACTCAAAACCGCACAACTACATGGAAACTGAACAACCTGCTCCTGAATGACTACTGGGTAAATAACAAAATGAAGGCAGAAATAAAGATGTTCTTTGAAACCAATGAGAACAAAGACACAACGTACCAGAATCTCTGGGACACATTTAAATCAGTGTGTAGAGGGAAATTTATACCACTAAATGCCCACCCTAACATCACAATTAAAAGAACTAGAGGAGCAAGAGCAAACACATTCAAAAGCTAGCAGAAGGCAAGAAATACTGAAGATCAGAGCAGAACTGAAGGAGATAGAGACACAAAAAAACCTTCAAAAAAATCAATGAATCCAGGAGCTGGTTTTTTGAAAAGATCAACAAAATTGATAGACTGCTAGCAAGACTAACAAAGAAGAAAAGGGAGAAGAATCAAATAGATGCAATAAACAATGGTAAAGGGGATATCACCACCGATCCCACAGAAATACAAACTACCATCAGAGAATAATATAAACACCTCTACACAAATAAACTAGAAAATCTAGAAGAAATGGTAAATTCCTGGACACATACATCCTCCCAAGACTAAACCAGGAAGAAGTTGAATCTCTAAATAGACCAATAACAGGCTCTAAAATTAAGGCAATAATAGCCTACCAACCAAAAAAATTCCAGGACCAGACGGATTCACAGCTGAATTCTACCAGAGGTACAAAGAGGAGCTGGTACCATTTCTTCTGAAACTATTCCAATCAATAGAAAAAAAGAGAATCCTCCCTAACTCATTTTTTATGAGGCCAGCATCATCCTGATACCAAAGCCTGGCAAAGACACAACAAAAAAAGAGAATTTTAATCCAATATCTCTGATGAACATCGATGGGAAAATCTTCAATAAAATACTGGCAAACCAAATCCAGCAGCACATCAAAAAGCTTATCCACCATGATCAAGTTGGCTTCATCCCTGGAATGCAAGGCTGGTTCAACATATGCAAATCAATAAATGTAATCCATCACATAAACAGAACCAACGACAAAAATCACATAATTATATCAATAGATGCAGAAAAGGCCTTTGACAAAATTCAACAGCCCTTCATGCTAAAAACTCTCAATAAACTAGGTATTGATGGAATATATCTCAAAATAATAAGAGCTATTTATGACAAACCCACAGCCAATATCATAGTGAATGGGCAAAAACTGGAAGCATTCCCTTTGAAAACTGGCACAAGACAGGGATGCCCTCTCTCACCATTTCTATTCAACATAGTGGTGGAAGTTCTGGCCAGGGCAATCAGGCAAGAGAAAGAAATAAAGGGTATTCAATTAGGAAAAGAGGAAGTCAAATTGTCCCTGTTTGCAGATGACATGATTGTATATCTAGAAAACCCCATCGTCTCAGCCCAAAATCTCCTTAAGCTGATAAGCAACTTCAGCAAAGTCTCAGGATACAAAATCAGTGTGCAAAAATCACAAGCATTCCTATACACCAATAACAGACAAACAGAGAGCCAAATCATGAGTGAACTCCCATTCACAATTGCTACAAAGAGAATGAAATATCTAGGAATCCAACTTACAAGGGATGTGAAGGAACTCTTCAAGGAGAACTACAAACCACTGCTCAACGAAATAAAAGAGGACACAAACAAATGGAAGAACATTCCATGCTCATGGATAGGAAGAATCAATATCGTGAAAATGGCCACACTGCCCAAGGTAATTTAGAGATTCAATGCCATCCCCATCAAGCTACCAGTGACTTTCTTCACAGAATTGGAAAAAACTACTTTAAAGTTCATATGGAACCAAAAAAAGAGACTGCACTGCCAAGACAATCCTAAGCCAAAAGAACAAAGCTGGAGGCATCATGCTACCTGACTTCAAACTATACTACAAGCCTACAGTAACCAAAACAGCATGGTACTGGTACCAAAACAGATATACAGACCAGTGGAACAGAACAGAGGCCTCAGAAATAACACCACACATCTACAACCATCTGATCTCTGACAAACCTGACAAAAAAAGAAATGGGGAAAGGATTCCCTATTTAATAAATGGTGCTGGGAAAACTGGCTAGCCATATGTAGAAAGCTGAAACTGGATCCCTTCCTTAAACCTGATTCAAAAATTAATTCAAGATGGATTAAATACTTAAATGTTAGACTTAAAACCATAAAAACCCTAGAAGAAAACCTAGGCAATACCATTTAGGACATAGGTATGGGCAAGGACTTCATGACTGAAACACCAAAAGCAATGGCAACAAAAGCCAAAATAGACAAATGGGATCTAATTAAACTAAAGAGCTTCTGCACAGCGAAAGAAGTTACCATCAGAGTGAACAGGCAACCTACAGAATGGGAGAAAATTTTTTAATCTACCCATCTGTCAAAGGGCTAATATCCAGAATCTACAAAGAACTTGAACAAATTTACAAGAAAAAAACAAACAACCCCATCAAAAAGTGGGCAAAGGATATGAACAGACACTTCTCAAAAGAAGACATTTATGCAGCCAACAGACACATGAAAAAAATGCTCATCATCACTGGTCATCAGAGAAATGCAAATCAAAACCACAATGAGATATCATCTCACACCAGTCAGAATGGTGATCATTAAAAAGTCAGGAAACAACAGGTGCTGGAGAGGATGTGGAGAAATAGGAAAACTTTTACACTGTTGGTGGGAGTGTAAACTAGTTCAATCATTGTGGAAGAGAGTGTGGCAATTCCTCAAGGATCTAGAATTAGAAATACATTTGACGCAGCAATCCCATTACTGGGTATATACCCAAAGGATTATAATTCATGCTACTATAAAGACACATGCACACATATGTTTATTGCGGCACTATTCACAATAGCAAAGACTTGGAACCAACCCAAATGTCCGTCAGTGATAGACTGGATTAAGAAAATGTGGCATATATACACCATGGAATACTATGCAGCCATAATAAAGGATGAGTTCACGTCCTTTGCAGGAAGATGGATGAAGCTGGAAACCATCATTCTCAGCAAACTATCACAAGGTCAGAAAACCAAACACCGCATGTTCTCACTCATAGGTGGGAATTGAACAATGAGAACACTTGGACACTGGGTGGGAAACATCACACACATGGGGGCCTGTTGTGGGATGGGGGGCAGGGGAAGGGATAGCATTAGGAGATATACCTAACGTAAATGACGAGTTAATGGGTGCAGTAAACCAACAAGGCACATGTATACATATGTAACAAACCTGCACGTTGTGAACATGTACCCTAGAACTTAAAGTATAACAACAACAACAACAACAACAAAAGAATGGCGATCATTAAAAAGTCAGGAAACAACAGATGCTGGAGAGGATATGGAGAAATAGGAACGCTTTTACACTGTTGGTGGGAGTGTAAATTAGTTCAACCATTGTGGAAGACAGTGTGGCGATTCCTCAAGGATCTGGAACTAGAAATATCATTTGACCCAGCAATCCCATTACTTGGTATATACCCAAAGGATTATAAATCATGCTGCTATAAAGACACATGCACACATATGTTTATTGCAGCACTGTTCACAATAGCAAAGACTTGGAACCAATCCAAATGCCCATCAATGATAGACTGGATAAAGAAAATGTGGCACATATACACCATAGAATACTATACAGCCATAAAAAAGGATAAGTTCATGTCCTTTGCAGGGACATGGATGAAGCTAGAAACCATTCTCAGCAAACTAACACAGGAACAGAAAACCAGACACCACATGTTCTCACTCATAAATGGGAGTTGAACAACAAGAACACATGGACACAGGGAAGGGAACATAACACACTGGGGCCTGTCAGGGGGTGAGGGACTAGGGGAGGAATAGCATTAGGAGAAATACCTAATGTAGATGACGGGTAGATGTGTGCAGCAAACCACCATGGCACGTGTATACCTGTGTAACAAACCTGTACATTCTGCACACGTATCCCAGAACTTAAAAGTATAATAAAAATTAATTAATTAATTTTAAAAAGATGAGCTGATGGATGGATATGTGGGAGAAGAAATATAGCAAAATGTTAACTATAGAATCTAAGTGATAGTGTATGTGACTGTTTACTGTATAATCCTTTCAACTTCTCAGTAATTCTGAACCTTTTCATAATAAAATGTTTTTGGGGAAAACTGTATTTATAATCCTCTTAGTGTGCAGTCTAGCCAGTGTCAGAGAAAAGCATGCAAAAGGGACTAAGCTAAAGATAAGAACTCAAACAACTTTTCAAGGACAGACACATTGTCAACGGAGGAAGCAGCACACTAGAGTCAGGCTTGGGGATCCATCTGCTGCTGCTTCCACAGGGCTCAACCCTTGCAGGAAGCAAGCCTTCACAGAATACATCCCATAAATTCGAATGTAAGGAAAATATTCACCCTGCTGGAAACTTTCCATACTCTTTGAAATGCACACCTTTAAAAATTATCTTTCATTCCTAATTACATGTTGAGTATCCCTTATTCAAAGTGCTTGGGACCAGAGGTGTTCTAGATTTGGGAATATCTGCATTATACTGGCTGAACATCCCTAATTCAAAAATCCAAAATCCAAAATGCTCCAAAGAGCATTTCCTTTGAGCATCATGTTGGCACTCAAAAAGTTTCTGATTCTGGAGCATTGTGGAGTTTGAATTTTCAGATTAGGGATACTCAATCTGTACTAAAATAGGTTGCAAATACTTCCTTGCAAACTTGAAACCATCATAACTTATTCCGAGTTGTTATGTACTTAACTAAAATAACATTTTGAAAAAGTAGTTTCAGGCACCTCATCAGTTTGTACTATCTTGACTTTTAGTACAAGTAAACAGCATTTCAGGCTTGGCACAGTGGCTCACGCCCGTAATCTCAGCACTTTTGGAGGCCAAGGCAGGCGGATTACTTGAGGTCAGGAGTTTGAGACAAGCTTGGCCAACTGGCACAACCCCATCTCTACTAAAAATACAAAAATTAGCCGGGTGTGGTGACGGGTGCCTGTAATCCCAGCTACTCGAGACGCTGAGGCAGGAGAATCGCTTGAACCTGGGAGGTGGAAGTTGCAGTGAGCCGAGATCACGCCACTGCACTCCAGGCTGGGCGACAGAGTGAGATGATGTCTCAAAATAAATAAATAAATAAACAGCATTTAAAAGGGTTTCAGATTGGAAGCTCCTACAAATCCTCCCTCACTCAAAGTGACCTCTGGTAGTTTCAACAGCAAAAATGTTTCTAATTTTTCTTTTTCCATAGAAACGTACGAGTAAATTTTATCAACGAAACTAAATAGCAAAAAACAAGGGAAAAGGTACCTTTGAAAACACTCATTATAAGTATTCTGCCTATATTTTCAAAGCCTAAGAAATCACAAATTACTACAGAGTAACAAGGTTAAGAAAAAAGAATGATTGGCCGGGTGCGTGGCTCACGCCTGTAATCCCAGCACTTTGGGAGGCTGAGGCTGGTGGATCACGAGGTCAAGAGATCAAGACCATCCTGACCAACAATCCCATCTCTACTAAAAACACAAAAATCAGCTGGGTGTGGTGGCACGCGCCTGTAGTCCCAGCTACTCGGGAGGCTGAGGCAAGAGAACTGCTTGAACCTGGGGGGCAGAGGTTGCAGTGAGCCGAGATGCCACTGCACTCCCGCCTGGCGATGGAGCAAGACTCCATCTCAAAAAAAAGAAAAGAAAAAAGAATGATTAAATGAAACAAATCTAACACCGTAAATCCACAGATTAAACAGGAAAAACTATTGCTCCTAACCTCAGTGCTACTGAAATGTTGAGCTGTATGATTCTTTGTGGTGGGAACTGTCTTGGGCTTTCTCGGATGTTCAGCAGCCTCCCTGGCTTCTACCCAGTTGGTGCCAGTAGCACTCTTGTCCTGCCCCCAGTTATGACAAACGAAAAGTAACTCCAGACTCTGCCAATGTCCCCTGGGGGTAACACAAGCTCTGGTTGAGAACCACTGCTCCAGATGACAATACACAGAGCTGTTATTAGCACCCTAGAGACTGCACAATACATAAACGTGGGCTCTGCATTCACCCAGACTGAATTTGAACCTTGTGTCTACCACTGACCAGCAAGTAAGATGCACGATCACGGCCACGTATCTCTCTCAGCCTCAGTTTACACATGTGCAAAATGGCAAGAGTAGTAGTATCTCGAATGGTTGTTTTGAAGATAAAAATGTGACAATCCACCATCTTAGTCTGTTTGTGTTGCTATAACAGTAACTATAGACTGGGTAATTCATAAAGAACAGAAATTTATTCTTCACAGTTCTGGAGGCTGGAAGTCCAAGATCAAGGTGCCGGTTTCTGGTGAGGGCTGCTCTCTGCTTCTTTTTGTTTGAGATGGAGTCTCGCTCTGTCACCAGGCTGGAGTGCAGTGGCGCAATCTCGGCTCACTGCAACCTCCGCCTCCCGGGTTCAAGCGATTCTCCTGCCTCAGCCTCCCGAGTAGCTGGGACTACAGGTGTGTGCCACCATGCCCAGCTAATTTTTGTATGTTTAGTAGAGATGGGGTTTCACCATGTTGGTCAGGATTGTCTTGATCTCTTGACCTCGTGATCCACCTGCCTCAGCCTCCCAAACTGCTGGGATTACAGGCATAGAGCCACCGCACCCGGCCGGGCTGCTCTCTGCTTCTAAGATCTCACCTTGAATCCTGCATGTTCCAGAGGGAAGAAATGCTGTGTCCTCGCATGGCAGAAGGCAGAAGGGCAAAAAGGCCAAACTCCCTCCCTCAGGCCTTTTTATAACAGCATTAATCCATTCCCGAGGGCAGAGCCTCATGACCTAAACACCTCCCAAAGGGATCCATCTCCCAACACTGTTGTACTGCAGAGTAAGTTTCCAATACAGAAATTTGGGAGACACATTCAGATTACAGCATCCACTTAGTGATTGAGGGTAGTGCCCAGAATACAATCAACATGGAATAATCAATACATTTTTATTGCAGTCCTATCATGCTTTATGGTATTCAAAACACAGATCATTTCATTTGTTCCTCACAACCAAATTGGTAAGTTGGGACAGCAAGTAGCTTCTGATGAGATGAGAGAGGTAAGTAACAGAGACAGGGCTGGCTCCCTGGGTTCTCCTGTCATGTTAACAGCTCTTCCGCCACTCTGCAGGCTACTTTATCTTTACAAAGGCACAGCAATGTTAATACTCTGAGTCTTCTTGTGAAATAATAGCCATATTTATCCATAGCCCACAGGCAAACCCCATCCAGCCCACCTCTGTGAGAGGACAGGGCAGCCATCTATATGGGTAGGAATCCCACCAGGATCCGATTTGTCTTCAAAGGATGTCAAACCCCTGCTTGGTTGATTATTAAATCAAAGGTTCTGCCCTAAATCACCAGAGACTTACTAGAGATTCTTCCTTGAGAACAACCTCAAAATCATGGCTAGTAAACCTAAACAAATCAGAATATATTCAAGAAGTCTGAAAAATACAGCCCATTTAGTCCTCTCCACAAACCAAGCATTATCCTCACACAAAATCAGATCGTCAGAGAGCTTAAAGGCTCTGGCAGTATCCCCTGGGTGCACATGGAAGGACGCCAGTTTTTAAAATGACCACTAACATCTTTAAACAGCTTTGCCCACCCCATCTCATGGGGCCAATCAAGTGACCCCACAGGACACAGAGCTCAAGCTCCAGCGTCAAAGCTGTATTTGTCATACATACCTAATTCTAAAAACTTTTAGATATTGTTAATCTTGTAATTTATCACATCCCCTCTTTAACACTAGGATATAGAACAAAAATTTGAGCCCCAGCCCCACTGCCAAACACCTGTGCAGTTATAAAGCATGCACAACCATGTAGCTGGAGTTTCTTCTGACTGCCTTGCCGTTGCTTCCTTTCCTCTATGATTTATCACTTTTATCTCTAATTGCTTTGAATGTGTCTGTACAAATGGCTTCAAATCCTTTTTACATATTATGCTGGCAATTAAAAAGCATAAAAACTCTTGTCTTGGAGCTGGCAAATTCAGTCAATGGGTATTTGGTATGGTCTAAACGGTGATGTCCCCCCGCAAATTCACATGTTGAAACCTAGTCCCCAATGTGACAGTACTAAGAGGTGGGGCCTTTGGGGAAGTGATTAAGCCATGAGGGCTCCAGCCCCATGCACGGGCTTGGTGCCCTTATAAAAGAGACTGGAGGCAGCACTCTCGTCCTTCTCACGATGAGTGGGGACAAAAAGGCAGAGGGCAACCCTCACCAGATGCCGCATCTGCTGGTGCTCTAATCTTGGGCTTCCCAACCTCCAGAACTGTGAGCAATAAATTTCTGTTGTTTATTATAAATTACTCAGTGGTATTTAGTTATAGCCGACTGAACAGACAGAGACAGTATTTTTGCTGATAATTGAGAAAATAAAATTTAATGGGAAAGTTAATATCTTAAACAGCTCCACATGGATTTACCCAAAGATGTGTTCCTAAAAAGCTGGGTACATTTTAAAATCTCCAAATTAAAATGAAACTTAAAAGCATTAGAAAGACTAATACTTATAGGAATACTACGCTGGCTGCTATTATAACTTGCCAATTCTACAAAGCATATAAATTACTCCCTAACTTGTTTGTAAGTCTAGATAATTACATAGTTTCACTTATAAAAGGCAGACTGTATAATTTACAACATTAAACCAATAGTTATAAAATGGCATAAACTCCAGGGGAAGGGAAAGGCAATAAAATGATCTTACTGTGAACTTAATGCCTGGTTGTGATCGATTTCCAAGTTGTTTGATTTCTAGTCTAGCCAACATGCAAGATAATCGAGTAGGTGCAAATAATACAGAGATGAAAATGTCTTCCTTTGGGTGAATTCTGATCTCACAGTTACTGGTCAATCGCTGTTCTGAACCAAAAGTGTTCTGAAGCTACAATTTAAAAACAGTTAAATGCATAAAACAAAGCAGTAGCACAAATAAAACATACCATTAACACAGATTCTTAAAAGCTAAATAACACAAAAAGGTCTGCATATGCAAGTGTTCCAGACCCAGACAGAAGACATAACAAGAATCCACGTACTCTACGAACCTGAAAGCAGTCCTGATCTTGTCCTCTAATAAGCAGTCGTAAATGTTGAGTTGTAGATGCAGAATTATTTCTTAAAGCTAGTTTCTGAAGCCTAAAAACAATTAGACATTTTAAATATGGTTTTTCTCCATGGATATTGCTACCATTATAAGAATAAAGCCAATTAAAACCAACCACAATGTCTAGAGATGGACTAACTATACAAGCCATTTCAGTAGCCTGGAATTGTCTCCCCACAGTCCTAGGCTCTACGTTTCTGAAATTGTAGGCTCAAGACTCACCTTATAGAGGCTTTTTGGTTTAATCTCTCTCCAGTTATAGCTCTGCAGCTGACCTTATTATTAATACTATGTGTATAGGTATTATCTGTCATATAAAACATCAATCAATGAAAATCCAGGTGAAGAAATTCATCGAGTCATTAAGTCAATATCACACCTACCTGGAATACCTGGCTCAACCAAGCGAGCTTTCAGGGAAACAAGGGGTCCTAGGCTAAGAGGCTCATTTGCACAAAGTAGTCTTTTACACAGTATATTGAATTAACTCTACTTTTAAAGAAGCTACAATGCAAAAGAATGGACATAAAATAGCACCTGACTGATAAAAACACTTCAATTGTGGAAACTATGTGAATGCTGTCTTCATTGGAGAACAGAGAATACATGAGTAAATCTCTGTTTTACTCAAATTTGGGGAAGATCAGCAGCTAATAAATCAGCAGCTGAGGTCTACGTCTCATCCACCTTGTGTTAAGAGAAACGCAGACAACTTTGGCTATTGACATCTCCAGGAAAAGCCTTCCACAGGTACAATGACTGGGGAAGAATTACGTGAAAGAAACATTATTTTGTAAAGTTTTCATTCTCATGTATTTATTTAATAATTTGTAAAGCACTGTGGTTATCATTTTCAAGTATAGAGTTAGTTATCAGGTGGGATGGGAGAGGCTAGGTTTCCATAGAGTCATATCATCAGTTAAATGTACTCAAAAGTCAAGAACAAGCCAGTTATTGCTTGAGTGAAGTGTAACTGTTTCTGCCATAGGCTTCTGAGAGATGTTTCTTCCAGAGATACTTTTAAAGATAAACCTGTACAATACAGGGAGTCTCAAAAAAAAACAACAACAAACAATTTTACAGTAAATACTACCTCCCATTTCCTAAGGTACCCCTCTCCCTTCGGTGCTCCATTCGGTGTGGTCGGGAAGTATGACACCCAAGTCTGGTGCATTAAAAACACTTTCATGGGTTTTGCTAAAACTATGTGGTTGTTGACTGAGAAATTTAGATCATTTAGAAGAATGGATGTACTGCATATTCTCTATGCAGCTCTCCATAAATCTCTCTCTCAGCTGGCTTTTGAAAAATACAGAGTGGCAGTGAATTTAAGGGGATACTCCCTCCTCAGCAGTAACTGTATTGTTGGTCATGCGTCAGGTGCTCTTTGCAGGACTGGAATATATGTTAAAGAAAAGCTGAATCAGGACACGTGCCCATCTAGGTTTTTCCAGTTCTGCACAATTGAGCCTGAAGAGTGTCTATTATGACAAAATTTTCCTGCAAACATTAATTTGTAGTCTGCTCCAAAATATGTATAAATAGTGGACGATTTGTCAGTCTTTGACACTTACTGTGTTCTACCTAGAGGGACTCCTCCCCAAGCCAGAAATTGTTTGTTGGACAAAATCGATGGAATATCTAAGCAAGGTCCAGGTGACAGAGGTTTACTTCCTGAAGAAATGACTTCGCCTTTTAACACTACCTCATACTGAGGTCCAAATGGCTGCACAAATATTTTCAAGATCCTAAGAAAGAAAGAATTCTAAGTTGAAGGTCCTGTATTCAATTCTTTTCGCAACTATTTCCTATATGTTTCCATTGTCCAAAAGACTGAACTGGGTGCTGGGGATACAATGATATTCCCACCCTTAGAGCTTGTGCTGCAGAGAATACAGACAAGAAGAGAGATGATCACAATGGCATCTGCACAGGGGGGTGTGAGAAGCCATCGTGCTTTGGGAATGCTATTTATGAGACATTTGGGAGGAGTGGAGGAAAGTCTCCCAGAAGGCGCCAGCCCAGGGAGGTTGAGGGCTAGCATTCCAGGCAGAGGCATTCACACTGGTGCAGGCCTGACTCTCCTCTTCTGTAAGGTCACAAGAACAGACTGAGCACACGATAAAGTGTTCTATAACCCAGGCAGGGGGATAAGCCATGTGTGTCTCAGAGGAGAGTGTACTTTAAGCTAGGGTTACGCAAGCAAGCTCAGTACTCACGACAGTGGGGCTCTGACTCTAAGTTGATATTCACTTATGATTTGGGTGCCAAGAAGTCATGGGCTTGGAGAAGAAATGGAGAAAGATATCTTAATAGCTGACAAGGTCAACTAATAGTTTCAGGAGAAAAAGTGAGAAACATCAAATTGATCTTTTATTATTTACTTTTGTCAGAATATACTTGAAAATAGTAATTTATTCATTTCGATTCAGCTGGTTTAAAAGAAGATTTTTAGTCAAAAAAAGAGAAGACAATCTGAACCTAAATGAAAGGAGATTAAACAGAGTCACACCATGTATTAGGTAAGAAATATACGGACTTTGTCATTCAGGCTGTGGAATTTTGAAGCACATGTGAGTGGCTGTTTTGAGAGACAAGTAAAACTTTGTCATTAAAACTTTTTTTTTTTTGAGACGGACTCTCTGTCGCCCAGCCTGGAGTGCAGAGGTGTGATCTTGGCTCACTGCAACCTCCGCCTCCTGGGTTCAAGCGACTCTCCTGCCTCAGCCTCCTGAGTAGCTGAAACTACAGGTGCACACCACCAAGCCCTGCTAATTTTTGTATTTTTAGTAGAGACAGGATTTCGCCATGTTGCCCAAGCTGGTCTCGAACTCCTGACCTCAGGTAATCCACCCACCTCGGCCTCCCAAAGTGCTGGGATTACAGGCATGAGCCACTGTGCCCGGTCCATTATAACATTTTTATATTACCTTTCCTCGCAGGCTTCAGGATCCTTTGGAGTAAATGAAACAATAACCTCATGTTCTTCTCCAGGTTTAAGGAGTAGATTCTTTGGATCCACTGAAAAGTGACTTCCTTGTTCTGGGACCTAAATATAGTTACATAATCATAATTGAATGCCGACTTACAAAAACGCAGTTTTCGCTCAGTGGCTCCTGCCTTACGTGCGTTTCTCATTTACCAGGACAGGTTGTTTGTCCCCTTCTTGTCTGTCACGGTCTCAACTTGTCCTATTCTCTTGGAAAGGATATTTCTTTCTCTTCTACAACAAACCTTATCTTCCACCTCACCCACAATTTTGGATCACTAACCCCCTCTCATTCACCCTCAGGTCTCAGAAATGATGTCAACGTGTGCGGATCATTCTTCACCAACTCTAACCAAAGGGTGACATGCATGTTTTTCAGGAACTAATCTAAGAACTTGGTTCTCATATTCAAGACACTGAACTTTAAACTTAAAAAGCACCACAGCATATATTTTATGCTATATAACACCCAGTTTTTAAAAACTCTCAGCGATTCTTTCATCTGAGGTTCAGGGCACTCTGTTGGGCCAGGAAGAGCACAACAGCCTGCAGAAAGCAAGGAGCTCTCACAGTCTGAGGAAAGACTATCTTATGGCACTCTCATGGAAGTGCATACCTTGATATCCAAATAAACTTCAATGTTCCCAGCATTTTTCAAAGGTAAGTGCTGCTTTCTTGAGGAAGCCACTTTGGCCAAGAAATGCATCGTCTGGAGGATGGGGCAAGACAGACATTTCAACGAACTGTCACAAAGTGAAATCAGCATGAATGAAAGCAGTAACGGCAGAAAGGAGGACTGAGGCTACCTGCAAGTCCCTGGGAGCATGGATCCTAGCTATTCCTGCTCTTGCTCGGAGACTCACACTTCTAAGAACGGGCGTAGGGTTTGGGCTGTCAACTTCGATATCAACTTTTGCCGAGAATTCTTCTGCTGAGTCCAGAATATCTAAAAAAAAGTTCATTCTTTTAGCTTGGAGACCAGAGAGTTATTTAATTCTAAATGCCATCAGCAGTCCCACACAGTGCCCTTAGGGGCAATAAGAAAATTTAGGCAAGCAGATTTTTTAAAGAGTTAAAAGAATAGAAATGAGTGAAGAGAAAGGTGATAAAAGAAAGAAAACATCCAACTGGTAAATGTGATAAGATCAATTAACAGAAAATATTCTAAAAGGTTTTCAGTGCTATCTGCAGGAGTTACCCACACTTACACAGGATTGACCCAAAACAGCATGCCATCTGCCTCAATTTCAAAAAAACATAAAATAGTTGACAGATTTCGAAGTACTGACATTTATTGACAAAGGAAATACATCTCAAATTTGTAGTTTATCTAGCTACAGATTAAAGCAATTCCCACACAGTGTAAACATGATACCTGAAGAGCTGATCTGTTTCTTTGGACTATGGAAAAGAACCCAAATCATCAGAAATTCTGGATCCTATAAAATTAAAAGAAAAATTTGTCTTAATGTAAACTGGTATTAATATTACTATCTTAATGAAAGAAAAGAGGTTTAGAAGCTTAATTTCCTCTTTAATTCTAAGCCAGTTCTCTCCCACCTGTCCATCATAACTAGCAGGCATCATGTGGTTGACCACAGAAGGGCCTGCTAGCCGAGTGACCACATCAGCGCAAGGAGCAACTTCCACAGGAGCTCGGACGGATTCCTTGGAAAACGTGAAACAGCGCCAGGCTACAGCGTTCTGTTTAGAAATACAAGAATCAGTTCAGTAAAGCCAACAGTGTAATGCTAAGTTTGCTAACAAAATCCTTAAAAAAATGTACTTTCATAAGATCAGTGCATTCTGTAAATGGTTTCTTACTGTATGTTCATACTTACAGCATTAATAATCAGTCTAATTGGCACAGTGGCATGCGTTCGGTTTATCAATTTTAGTGGGAGGGCTTTCCAGCCTCCATAAGTCAAGTCACCAAAATCAAGAACGTCTTTCTTTTCTGTTTCTACCTAATTATCAAAAAAAGGGAATGATTTATGAAAAGCAATATATTAATAGCACAACATGTATGTTCATATCACTGCCATTTCTAGCCACAAATTATGAGTCAGCAGTAAGTAAAACTTACCTACATTTTCCCAGGCTATTTAACAATTGCTTATTTTCTACAAAAATAAATGTTAAATTCTTCTTTTGAGGTAGTCTATGTACCCAAATATACTACAGAATTCAGCTGCTGTTACTTTGAAAAGACTGTATCTTAAGATGAACTGATAATTTTATAAAATTATAGACCCCTTTTCAATGGGTTCTATTATTAGAATAACAACTTCTCAATTCCTTTTAAAAAGATCATGAATATCTTGGCATTTTCAGATTTAATCTGCAAATGTTAAAATGGTATCAAAACAGACATATCAAAAGTTTAAAACAAGTGCCTATGATCATGACAGACTCACTTCCCTAAATGCGGGAAACCAACCAAACTCAGACCCCTCACACACCCACATGTGGAAATGTTTGACAGTACAGGAACCCCCACCGGATATCAAAACTCGTGGATGTCCCCGATAGGAAATGTCATAGTATTTGCATATAGCCTAGGCACATCCTCCTGTATACTTCAAACACCTAACATAATGTACCTAATATAATGTAAATGCTATGTAAATAGCCATTATACTTTATTGTTAGAGAATAATGACAAGAAAAAAATGTCTGTACATGTTCAATACAGATGCAACTACCCCTTTTATTATTCTGAATATTTCTGATCCAAGGTTAGTAAAACACAAGAATGCAGAATCCACAGATACAGAAGACAGACTGTATTATACAGGCACACACACACACACACACACACACACACACACACAGACGTGCTCACATTTTGTTTTGCTCTAGCCAAACACAAAATAAGTAGAGATCAAAGGCAGACCAGTAAGTAGGAGCTGATTTCCATGGTGGCCCAGAAAGGTCTGGGTTCCAGACTTGCGCTCAAGGTGGTAGAGCTTTAATATGTTCCAGAGAACAGAAGATGTGACTTCAAGCTTGTTGTGAGCAGGGTGAGGCTCGAATGGAATTTGAAATCTGCATATAAAGCCCAGAAACTCAAAGGAATGAACTGAAAAAACTGTCCACATGTCTATGGAGTCAACAAGGAACCTGTCCAGAGAGGGGTGGCATAGAAGATTATTTGCAAGAACATGAAAGCCTACGCCTAGGCCACATGGGACATGGGAGCCCCAAGCTGAAAAAAATCACAAAGGCTTTTAACACCTCAAACATTTCTGCAAAAGTACTCTCAAGGGACGCTTCCAAAGACTAGGACACATCATTGGATTCCTAAAGCAAAAAGCAGCCTCAATGAATGTGAGCTCACATTAAAAATTTTTAAATATCAAAAAATCAGAAGCCACTAGAAGAAAATCAGGAAGACTCAGCAAAAGTAACTAGTAGAAGCGTTAGTAACCCAAGAACTAGAAACATGAAATAAACTTTGAAGTAAATTCACTTTAAATGTAGATAACAGAGTCCGTAACAAAGGGAAAAGCAAGAGATTCATGAAGCAATGGTTAGCAAAAAGATGTATAAATAGCTTGATAAATCTGTTAACAATGTTAATGTTGGGACTGTAAAAACTGTTTAGAACTAAAACATTAGTCAAAGGTAATATGGAAGGAAAAGATGAGCATTTAAATGAGATGCTGTCTTTATCTAGTTGAAGGAGTTTGCTTTAGTTAGACATCTCATTATTGAAGTTACATATTAATGTTGAAAGTAAACTATTTGAGTTCAGACGGTAACATGGCATTTTGAATATTGACTTCCTTTCTTGCAGGCTTGATTTGCCTGGTGACCGAATTACTAGTGACTAGTTTACTAACTAGGCCATTCAAGGACGTCGAGTTAACATAAAAGAAACATGTCACCTAAATGCACTTGATGGTGTTGAAATGTCCATCTTAAACTGTGTGATGAGATTAGTTCTAGAGAAGACACCAGGCCAACCCTGTAGTACCCCCAGTTTGTTGCAGAATCTCATGTTTTGGATGTTATATAAGAGTCCTATTTGCCCCAGTTAATTTAACTTTTTTCTGCCTGTCTTGTGGACTGGCTGGCTCTTTTAGAACTCTGTCCAAAGAGTGCATGGAATATAACTTGTAAAGCCTCCCACAACTGCCAGTATGTATGTGTGTGTGCTTAAACCAAATCTCAAAAGCTTACAATAGAGCTGCATAGGAATAGTATTGATTAAAGAATCACAATTGTACACATGAGCATAACTTATGGATTCTAGTTTAGTTCTTTTGTAACTGCAGACTATATTTTTGCTGTTGTTATATTAGAATAAGTTTTAAATGTCATCATGAAATAGAAATATGTATTTTAAGCACTCATGGAAAAAATGAACAATTTTTAAATGTGTGTTATTTTCTCCCTAAGAACTGTAAACATTAAACTAAACAAATTACCTATAATGGAAGCGATTAATGACCTCTGAGCAAGTTGGTTTGGCTGGAGAACATACACAAACTTTTATATACCACAGAATGCTATTACACTTGGGAAATTATCTTGTCTAACCTGAATTTACATCCCATGGTGATAACATGGTATATGTATTGTTATTAAAGTAAGTGACCATGTTTAAAAAAAAAAAACAACTATTAGAACTGATTAAAAAACTTTCAGTAAAATTACAGAATACAAAATTAACATATAAAAGTCAGTAGCATTTCTATATGCCAGCACTGAACTATGTGAAAAAGAAATTTAAAAAGTAATCCCATTTACAATACCACACATAGAATTAAATACCCAGGAATTAACTTAATCAAAGAAGTAAAAGACCTCTATAATGAAAAGTATAAAACACTGATGAAGAAAATTGAAGAGGACACAAAAAAATAGAAAAACATTCCATGTTTACAGACTGGAACAATCAACATTGTTAAAACGTCCATACTACCTCACAGAAATAGAAAAACAAAATCTTAAAATTTACATGGAACCACAAAAGACCTAGAATAGACAAGCTATCCCAAGCAAAAAGAATAAAACTGGAGGAATCACATTACCTAACTTCAAATTATACTACAGAGCCACAGTAACCAAAACAGCATGGTACTGGCATAAAACCAGATACACAGACCAAAGGAACAGAATAGAGGACCCAAACACAAATCCACACACCTACAGTCAACTCTTTTTTTTTTTTTTTTTTTGAGATGGAGTCTCACTCTGTCGCCCAGGCTGGAGTGCAGTGGCACAATCTCGGCTCACTGCAAGCTCCGCCTCCCGGGTTCACGTCATTCTCCTGCCTCAGCCTCCCAAGTAGCTGGGACTACAGGTGCCCGCCACCACGCCTGGCTAATTTTTTGTATTTTTAGTAGAGACGGGGTTCAACTGTGTTAGCCAGGATGGTCTCAATCTCCTGACCTCGTGATCCACCTGCCTTGGCCTCTCAAAGTGCTGGGATTACAGGCATGAGCCACCGTGCCCGGCCTACAGTGAACTCATTTTTGACAAAGGTGCCAAGAACATACACTTGGGAAAAGACTGTCCCTTGAATAAATGGCGCTGGGAAAACTGGATATCCATATGCAGAAGAGTGAAACTAGACTCCTGTCTCTTGCCATATATAAAAATCAAATCAAAATGGATTAAAAACTTAAACCTAACAGCTCAAACTATGAAACTACTACAAGAAAACACTGGGGCCAGGCACAGTGGCTCACGCCTGTAATCCCAGCACTTTGGGAGGCTGAGGTGGAGGGATCACAAGGTCAGGAGATCAAGACCAGCCTGGCCAATATGGTGAAACCCCATCTCTATTAAAAATACAAAAATTAGCCAGGCGTGGTGGTGCATGCCTGTAATCCCAGCTACTCGGGAGGCTGAGGCAGGAGAACAGCTTGAACCCGGGAGGCAGAGGTTGCAGTGAGCCGAGATCACGCCACTGCAATCTAGCCTGGGTGACAGAGCGAGACTCCATTTCAAAAAAAAAAAAAAAAAATTGGGGAAAATCTCCAGGACATTGATCTGGGCAAAGACTTCTTGAGCAATACCCCACAAACGAAGGCAACCAAAACAAACATGGACAAATGGGATCACATCAAGCTAAAAAGCTTCTACCCAGCAAAGGATGCAATCAACAAAGTGAAAAGACAACCCACAGAATGAGAGAAAATATTTGCAAACTACCCATCTGACAAGGGATTCATAACCAGAATATATAAGGGGCTCAAACAACTCTATGGGAAAAAATCTAATAATCCAATCAAAAACTGGGCAAAATATTTGAATAGACATTTCTCAAAGGAAGACATACAAATATCAAATGGGCATATGAAAAGGTGCTCGACATCACTGATCATCAGAGAAATGCAAATCAAAACTACAATGAAATATCATCTTACCCCAGTTAAAATGGCTTATATCCAAAAGACGGGCAATAACAAATGCTGGTGAGGATGTGGAGAAAAGGGAACCCTCGTACACTGTTGATGAGAATGTGAATTAGTACAACCACTATGGAGAACAGTTTGGAGGTTCCTCAAAAAACTAATAATTGAGCTACCATGTGATCCAGCTATTCCACTGCTGGGTAGATACCCAAAAGAAAGGAAATCAGTATATTAAAGAGATATGTTTATTGCAGCACTGTTTACAACAGCTAAGATTTGGAAGCAACCTAAGTGTTCATCAAGAGATGAATGGATAAAGAAAACGTGGTACATATACACAATGGAGTACGATTCAGCCATAGGAAGAATGAGATCCAGTCATTTGCAACAACATGGATGGAACTGGAGATCATTATGTTAAGTGAAATAAGCCAGGCACAGAAAGACAAACATCACGTTCTCACTTATTTCTGGTTTCTAAAAATCAAATCAATTGAACTTACAGACATAGAGAATAGAAAGATGGTTATGAAAGGCTCAGAAGGGTAGGGGTTGGGGGTGAGGTGGGGATGGTTAATGGGTACTAAACAAATAGAAAGAATGAATTAAGACCTACTATTTGACAGCACAATAGGATGACTATAGCCAATAATAATTGTGCATTTTAAAATAACTTAAAGTATGTAACTGGATTATTTGTAACTCAAAGGATAAATGCTTGAGGGGATAAGCTATTCTCCATGATGTGCTTATTTCACACTGCATGTCTGAAACAAAACATCTCATGTACCCCATAAATATATACACCTATTTAGGTACCCACAAAAAATTTTTTAAATAAAAGAAAAATTTTAAATTAAAAAAAATTCCATACCACTCCAGAATGATTAAAAAAAAAAAAAATCTAACAGTACCAAATGTTAGCAATAACAGGAACCTGCACACATTTCTTCTAGGAATGTAAGTTAGAGAGCAAATTGGCAATATCTAGCCAAAATAAAGGTGCATATACTTTAAACTGTAACATTTGTATTATGTACCTGGGAGACGCTTTATCACGTTGAGAAAGTAATCTAACAGTTTCTATGCATGTGGCCTCTATATAAAATTCCTGAATGCTCTCTCACAGGGAATGTTGTTCTCTAGTCAAATCCTACTGAACCATCAGGGCCTAATTCCTCTAGTTCCACTCCTCCAAGAAGGCAGCTTTTAACTGGCTTAACACTGAACTATTCCCTACACCAGTGGTTCCCAAACTTGTCTGTTTGTTGGACTCAAAGCTCAGACACAGACATCAGTAGTTTTTGAAGTTCATCAGGTGATTCCAATGAGCACACCAGTAGGGAACCACTGCCTTCTACTACCAAACACCACTGATATATGTGAGCCGCTCGGGACACAGCAATGCCAAATATTGCATAAATGTGATTTATCATGTCTGCTACAGAAAGGTAAACTGCTTAAAGGTAGGCTCAACAGTCTGATATAGTGAAATGTATTTAAATGCAGGAGGTTAATAACACCAGTTCTCAGTGGTTCCTACCAGGGATGGCTTGACCATGTTTGGAGACGTTACTGGTTATCACAGTGGGGAAAAGGGTATTACTGACACCCAGTGGGTAGAGGCCAGGGCCGCTGCTAAACATCCTACACTGCACAAGACAGCCTTTCCCACCCTCAAAAAATCTTCTAGCCCAAAATGGCAGTAGTGTTAATGCTAAAAATCCTTGACCTAAAGAAAAGCAAGCAGAGCAGAGCTGACTGAGAAGTATATAAAATGGCACTTAGCCAAAAAGAAAAAGATCACTAAAAGTTTATAATATGTGCAAATATCAACATAAGAACACAGGAACACAAAAACATGGAAAAAAAACTTTATAAAGAACATTTCCAATCAAATTCCTCCTCCATGCCCTAGAAAATAAAGTCGTTGAGCTAGGTTACTAAGCATTCCCCTAGAGAACGTGTACTGTGGGGAAAACACTGGTGATTCTCACCTGTCTCCCAGAGTGGCTGCCCTGTGTCTCATCCCCAACACCTACCTCTAAACTGCAAGTCACAGTTACAGCTTTGTGGAATGAAAAAACTAATTAACTTTATTTTTTTTCAGGCAGAGACTTGCTCTGTTGTCCAGGCTGGAGTGCAATAGCGTGACTTCAGCTCACTGTAACCTCCGCCTCTCAGGTTCAAGCAATTCTCCTGCATCAGCCACCTGAGTAGCTGGGATTACAGGCGCCCGCCACCACACCTGGCTAATTTTTATATTTTTACTAGAGACAGGGTTTTGCCATGTTGGCCAGGCTGGTTGCTAACTCCTGACCTCAGGTGATCTGCCCGCCTCGGCCTCCTAAAGTGCTGGGATTACAGGCATGAGACACCACATCTGGCCTGAAACAACTAATTAACTTTAGGAGGAAATCAGTAACATCTGTTAAGTGTGGTTAGCTAAATATGTTAAGTTCAATTCACATATTAGGAAATTAGTTCATTTTTTTTTTTTCCTTTTAAGACTGGGTCTCGCTCTGTTGCCCAGGCTGGAGTGTAGTGATGTGATCATAGTTCACTATAGCCTCAAACTCCTGAGCTCTAGTGATCCTCTCACCTTAGCTTCTTGAGTAGTTGGGATCACAAGCATGCACCACCACACCCAGCTGATTTTTAAAATTTTGTGTAGAGACATGGTCTCACTATGTTGTCCAGGCTGGTCTCGAACTCCTGGGCTCAAGCAATCCACCCACCTTGACCTCTCAAAGTGCTGGGATTACAGGTGTGTGCCAGTGCCCAGGTGAAATCAACTAATTTTTAATTAAAGTCACATGCTACATAATGATGTTTTGGTCAATGATGGACTGTATACAGGACAGTGATCCCATAAGATTATAATGGAGATGGAAAATTCCTAACACCTTGTGATATAGCCATCATAACATCATAGTATAATTTCTTTTATGAATTTGGTGTAGCCTAAATGTACAGTGTTTATAATGTCTCCAAGTGTGTACAGTAATGTCCTAGGCCTTTACCACTGACTCACAGAGAGCAACTTCGAGTCCTCTGGTAAGTGCCCTATAAAATGTACCATTTTTTAAATCTTTTATAATGTATTTTTTCTGTACCTTTTCTATGTTTAGCTATAGAAACACTTATCATGGTGTTACAACTGCCCTACAGTATTAAGTACAGTAACAAGCTGTATGGGAACAATGGTACATAGCCTAGGAACAATGGACTATCCCATAAGGTCTAGGCGTGCAGAAGGCTGTGCCATCTAGGTTTGTGTAAGTACACTCCGTGATATTCACACAATGACAAAATTGCCTAAGGACACATTTCTCAGGGCATATCCCTATTGTTAAGCGACTCAGGACTGTATCAAGACCTGTTCTGCTTTTCCTCTATTCTGCACCCTCCCATCTCTCCCTCTCACATTCCTTAATTTTTTTCAATGTTAGTTCTGATTTCACTATCAACTAAGAGGAGATAGCTCTTGTAAAGCAGTGGTTGTTAACTAAGGCTATGATTTGTAATCATCTGGGAAGATTTGAAAATTACCGAGAGGCAGCCACACCCTCCCTCGCTCTGATTTAGTCAGTCTAAGTGGGACTCAGGTATTGGGGTACATTTAGAAGCCCCCAGTGTTATTCCAATGTGCAGCCATGGTTGAGAGTCATCATCCTAAATGAGCATATAATCCAATGACCACTTATTATCCCAACTTGGCCAGACCTAATTTCTTTGGCTTCCAGAAAATAGGTGACTAGAGAAGGGAAACTTTTCTAGCTGACAAATAATCTCCAGGTACAGAAATATAAAAAGAATATGAACCACTGGCATGTTGCTAAGTGCACATCTAATAATACAATGGAAATCAGTGGAAAATAGTGTTTAACCTTATACTCTGCTTTATAGATATCTAAGCAAGTATACTTGTGTTACTGTAAAACTAAAAATAATTTTAAATTTTGAAATAAAAAGATATTAAGAACCAAAGTTCAGCTTGAAACTAATTTTGTGGCACCTTCGTCCACAAATTTCTTTTTCCCAAATTTTACTTCTAAGGTTAAACAGTCTTCTTTAAAATGCCAGGTATGACAAAGATTCATTTTCAAACAGGTACCTCAATAACAGGACTCTCGGCAATGGCAGTGAGAGTGACGGTGCTGGCCAAAGCTTCTGCCTGTACGATGGTCTCAGCATCTGTCGAACATGGCCAAGAAGCAACACTGAATGTGCATCTGAAAACCCCAGGACTGGATGGTATAAAAAGCACTTTTATCTCTTCTGTGGCATGAGGTCTTATGATGGCTTTATTCTTGAAAACTAAACAACGATATGTTGAAAGATCCACCTTCAAAAAAGAGCCATAAAGTTCGTTATTAATGGCTTCACACTGAAAATCAAGTAGAATCACCTAGTTTAAGATTCCTTTTCCCAATCACTCAAACTGCCAAATTAAAACATTTATTATCTCTTCAAAAATGTCAAAACCTTGTCATTTATGGTCTCTGAAGTACAACGAGTCAAATGCTTCCTGAGTTGAATGTTCTTGCTGCACCAAGGCTGTCTCCCCAGTCCACCTCCAAGCAAGCACATTGACCCTTACACTCACTTGTCTTAAAAAGGACACTGACAAAGGTCACTCTTTCACAGCCCTGTAAGTCTCTCTAGCACACACAACACAGCAGTGGGTGGGGGCTGGGGGGAAGAAGAGTCAGGCTAACCGCTGAGGTCCCACAGCCCTGACTCCGCCTCGACTGCAGTGACAACTCCAGCCACCCTCCCTCCTCACTGTCAATGGGGATCTTCTTTTCTACTCCCCACTTCCATAGACAACACTGCTTCATTCACAGACTCCAGGATGCCCCCAAAAAGTCTTCACAGCCCACCTTCCACCCTCAATCCTCTCCTTCAATCACCTACTTTTCATCTAACCTAAGGACTGGAAGTAGAGGGGAAAAGCCAAGACGGCGTAGGGGGAGGCGATCTTATTTTACCAGGCAGACGATGGCCACTAAGAGGCACGAGGGAAGCATCCACCAATACTGATTCACAAGTAACAGTCGTAAAACTGGGACATTTCAAAACAGCTGCTGACCATATATCCCCCCTCTCCACTCACCAATGTTCAAATGGTCACTGTAACCAGGAGAGAAGATTTAGAGTCTAGAATTATAGCAACTGTAATTGATCATGTAAGAGACATCTGTCTTAAAAGTTCATATTAAAACTGCATTTCCAGGTATTTCAAAAGCTCATGTAAGAAAATCATCAGATAAACTAGTTAAAAAGACTTCCCTTGCCAAATGAAGGCATAAGCTCCAAGAGTAACTGCTTTCTTTTTTTTTTTTTACAAGTCATGGTTACTTATATTCAATCACCTTTAACAAAACTGACAAGTAGAAACAAGAAACTCAGAACTTTTGATGATTTAAATAATAGCACTAAAAGCAAATTTATAGGAATTTACCAATAAATAACAATAAAATATAAATAATAAATGATGGAAAATGCAAAACTGTTTCACTTTACACTCTACAAGCACTACAACAAAAGGGGTCTGAGAGAAAGATACCATGGCAATGACTGTGTGCATTAATAAAGGCGTGAAGGGAGAACCTAGCACTAGAGATGGGGGAAATCAAGCACCTAATCACAATGCAACTGTTAGGTTAAATGAGAAAGACATAGAAAGCTACCTTTTCACCATTAACACTAATGCTGAGGACCCCAATGCTGACTTGCAGCCAGCGGTCAGTTGGATTAAGCACACTGAGGAGGGTCTGGGAAGCGATCCCGACACAGCAAGCATGAGGAAGCTTCAACTCCTCGGGCACTCGGACACTCCCTGGGTGAGAATAAGGCACAGTCAAAAATGCAAGTTACAGCAAACCCCTGATTATAAGCCAAATCTGTTAAATGGCAATGAGTTTATAAGATGGCCTGTTTACACAGAGCTAGAGTCAAAGTGCTCCAGATGAAGGAGTCCTTGATGTTGCATGAGCCTCAGAGGCCTGCCAACAATTTTTTCCTGCTTCCATCCAGCGCAGGAAAAGAAAAATTAAAATTGGATCAAACTCACAATTACGGCTAATCAATTCTTTGAGGTTACTGCCTGTAAGTAATCTCCTTTTCTCTCATAAATTGTAAGTCATTCTTATCCTAAAAAAAAAAACAAACAAAAAAAACCTCCAGAGGCTTTAACTTTCCAGATGTGGACACGTATCAGATTTTAATACCACCACCTATGTTCCAACATCCTCATGCAGTTGCTCCGGAGGGCAGAGAAGACAGCACCCCAGTGGCCGTGTGCACCATGTCAGTAAAAGCACAGCTCCCAGAGAGAAGCTGCCCCACAAATGCACCCGAGAGTGCTGCCTCTCCACCACAGCAGCCACCCAGAGACTCACAAGGTGGAGGCACTCACTCATTCTGGGATTCAATTCTAAACTGGACATTTCCTAGGGGAAATAATCACAAAACTGGAATGGCAGAGCAAAAGAGAGATAAGGAAGACAGAGCCATAGGCAGCCTGTCACCTGCATAAGTGTAGCGTTTTTCTAAGCCAACTTTAGGGACGCTTGCACAGAAATACACGGTGTTCTCAGTTTAGGAAGAAGCACAAAACTTACAAGGAATTAATGCTAACCAGTAACTCCTTGAAACAAACTAGCTTTGTGGTGTCATTTGAGAAAATAATAGCAAGTAATAATAATAGAGAAAAAGCATCTTACCCAATCCTGATGTCACTCCTGAATCCCATGGTTCAATTCCACAGTTTGTACCAACAGACGGCACAGGAAAAGGTTTTGTTGTGCTTAGCAGGTTCTGATTTAAGGTATTAGAATATGGGTTACAGAGGGAAGAGGTACCCATCCATCCAGAGCCGATATTTGATCCTAGACAAATTCCCACAGCCACAGAGTTCTGCACAGGCTCTCCTGCAACAGCTGGATAGGGAAGGCCTCCTGAGAAGCCACAGACTGTGGCATTGCCAGCATGGCACTGAGGCAAGGTGGTGCTTCCAGTTGAAGGGAGTGTTCCCAAATACCGCTGAGCAAAAGGAGCAGCGCTGAGAGAGGGTTGTGTCAAGAGTGCGTGCACAGCAGCAGGCATGTTCTGCATGTCAGCCACAGAGCTGTGAACTGTGCTGCTGGGAATAGGAGTACACTGGTTTTCAGAGGTGGTCTGATGAGAAACCTGGCCACTGAACTCACGGCCAGCAGTTGACTTATCTTTAGGACTTATTCTTTGATCTTCATCTATAGGCTCCTGGCAGGACACAGGGTGTGATGTGGCTGACCCCACCTGACAGCTCAGACCTGACTTGCCCAGGAGAGCCAGCCTGATCGGGTCCAATTCCTCAGGGTTTGATGTCCAACCTACCTCACTGGTTTCCAACAGATTTCCACTTTTGGAGGAAGGATCTTTACTCCATCTAAAGTCAGGTTTTACATATTCAGGCTTGCTACTCAGAGAAGTAGTTTCAGTTGCTTTTCTTGTATCAGAGTTATTCTGGATAATAGATGATAATGTTCCTTTTCCTCTATTCTGAAATGGAACTTTTTCTCTCAATTTTTCCATAGCCCGTTCCTCCAATGCGGCTGGACTGCCTTGAATAATTGTGGTACTCAACTCGCTGGTGATATCACTCTGAGTGCAACAAAATTTGTTTTTAATAATCCACAGATAAACTTAATATAACAAATTGAAACATGCTGGCAAAAGCTCAAGTAACAAAGAGATGTGCATGAGGTGTCTCTTTGAAAAAAAATTGGTTTACACAAAAATAGTAGTCTTGCAGTTGTGAAATGCAGACTTAAATTAGAAAATTTGTGCTTGTTGTTTTGTAAAAAGAATTATACCATGAGGAAAATAAATAGGAGGTATACACTAAGAATATCTGAAAATTTTGCACAGATAAACGACCAGAGTCTAGTAACTTTTTGAAGATTTAAGGGATTTCTGTAAACTTTACAAAAAAATCCAAATAAATTAGTAACGAAGGAGTGGGGGCTGAGCAAGCTTGAAACGGTAACAACTTTGAGGTCAGGCGGCGGCTCAGCAGGCTGGCAGGGCCCCACCCCACCATCTGTCCATGCTACTGCCTGGGCTTGAAGATTCAAAGACGTTAACTTTTTTTTTTTTTTTTTGAGACAGAGTCTCGCTCTTGTTGCCCAGGTTGGAGTGCAATGGCGCAATCTCGGCTCACTGCAACCTTCGCCTCCCTGGTTCAAGCCATTTTCCTGCCTCAGCCTCCCAAGTAGCTGGGATTACAGGCACCCGCTATCATGCCCAGCTAATTTTTTGTATTTTTAGTAGAGACAGGGTTTCACCATGTTGGCCAGGCTGGTCTTAAACTCCTGACCTCAGGTGATCCGCCTGCCTCAGCCTCCCAAAGTGCTGGGATTACAGGTATGAGCCACCACACCCGGCCAAAGATGTTAACTTTTATGTGTTCTAAGCCCTCTCCCATTTCTAAACTTGTGTGGCTCTATGAAGCATGAAGTTAACAGTCCTGGTAAATGTCCACACTCATTTGTTTGTACATAATGCATAATCTGAGGAGTGACATCTGCAGCTCTGCAGGATGGACCAGCTGAAATTTACAGACTAGATAGACGTAACCTTCACTGATTGCTTTGGTACTTGGTTTATAAATTTCTCCTGGCCAAAGCTTCAGAAATAAAGACACTAAGAAACAAAGACTATATTATTTGCCAATTAATAATAACAAATAATATGTATCCAGTGGTGACTTACTAGGTGACAAGCACTGCCCTCACATACTATTCCTCCTTACAGATGAAGAAACAGGTTGAGGGAGGTTTAGTAATCTGTCTGAGGAGGCAGCAGAAGATAAGTTATCTGACACCATAACCCAGCTCTCAACCACTATGCTAAGAACATGCAGACTCAGTATCTAACAACAACATGAAAAAGACAGCTTTCAAAGAAAGGGGTGTAATGCTCTCACACTACGCTGTGTATTCAGTAACTCTTCAGTGGCTTGGTGGAGGAAGACTATGCAGCATCCCCACAGCAGTCACAGTTAGCTCATCAAAAAACTGCACACTGTCACATCCACAACGTCCACACACGAAAATAGCTAATACTAGCTTCTCCCACATAAATCTCTCTGATCTTCTATTCTATTCCCACTGCTACTGTCTTGGCCCAAGCGTGCACTGTCTCTTGCCTGAACCACTACAGTGGCCTCATGTCAAATCTCCTATTTTAATTTTGCTCCTACTGTTCCCTCCTTCCTCATTGCTGTTGGAGTGAGCTTTTAAAACATCAAACCAGCCTGGGCTTGGTGGCTCATGCCTGTAATCCCACCACTTTGGGAGGCCAAGGCAGGAAGATCGCTTGAGGCCAGGAGTTCAAGACCAGCTCTGGCAACATAGCAAGACCCCATCTCTAAAAAAATTTGTTTTAATTAGCCAGATGTGGTGGTAGGCACCTGTAGTCCCAGCTACTTGAGAGGCCGAGGCAGAAGGAACACCTGAGCCCAGGAGTACAAGACCAGCCTGAGCAACATGGCAAGAAGCTGTTTCTACAAAAAAAAATGAAAAATTAGCCAGGTGTGGTAGTGCACACCTGTAGTCCCAGCTACTTGGGAGGCTGAGGCAGGAGGATCCCTTGAGACCAGCGGTCCCAGGCTGTAGTGAGCTGTGATCGTGCCACCATACTCCAGCCTGGGTGACAGAGCGAGATCGTCTCTAAAAAATACAAAAACAAAACAAAATCAAAACAGATCATGACAGTGACCTGCTAAAAAGCCTTCAAACTCCCGTATTTTAAACCCAGCACCCTTCCCGGTTTGGTCCCCCCTCTTCTAGCCTCATACACTTCTCCCTATTGACATGATTCACTGTGGCCGTTCTAAACTTCCTGGAGTGCCCAGATGCAGTTTGTATCTTACAACTCTCCACCTCCCCATGTGTTAACTCTGCTTCCCCGCTGCCTAACTCCTAGCAGTCCTGCACGGTGTGGCTTCAGTGTATTTATCCCTGCAGAAACCTTTGCTGAAGCAAAGGCAGTCAGACTTCCAACCACCACCTTCTGAGTCCCCATAGTATGCGCGCAGCATGATGCACTTCATTACACAGCGTGCCTCACCAGACAGAGCTCTTCAAGGGCAGATCCTAAAATGTTTGTACCTCTGTGTCTACCAGCATGAGTAGGTATTTAATATGTGCACACAAATACAAAAATCATTTTAAAGATAAAAGAGCAACACTGAAGTTATATAGGCTTGAACTGTAGTCTGAATCAAACATCTGTTAACACTTTTAAGAGTTGAAAGCCTTAGTAATAAATAATCCAAGTGGCTGCCCACCTTGCGGTCCTCCAGGGCATCATCTGTGGCTGTGGTAGGATAGGAGCTCTCTGGTTCAGACACATACGTCAGCCTGCTCACCCCAGCAGGCGAGCACACCAAGGGAGACAACTCCTGCTCACAGGGAGGCTGCTGCTGCTGAGCTGCTGAACCAAAGGACTCTAACGCACACCTGAAAGAGAAGAGTAGCTCACACCTGGAGTTCTCCAGTCCTTCAACTATCTACATTAGCAAAAAACCATTCCTATGGGCCTACAATCTTGCAAATGACTCAACCACAAATTCAATGTTTACACTTAATTATCTAAAATTGTAAAGAATATTCCCATTGAATGAAGCATCTGTTAAACTAGTGTAAAATGTATTGTGGCATTTTCATTAATAAATACCATATAAAGACACACAGCAATTCATTATTAGCAATTAGCTATTCATGCTATAAAAATCTGCTAAGTATCTGATATAGAGAAATGAACAGAAGATTCCAACCCTCAACGAGCAAAGAGGAAAAAAAATCATGCAGATAAGTGCAAAGAAATGGGAACAGTCACACACCACTGTGGGACTATCAAGTGGTACAACTTTTGGTTGAGCAATTAAGCAGTACATATCAAAGGCCTCTTGACTCAGATATTCTACATTTAGGAATTTATCCTGAGAAAAAAAATTAATGATAAATATAAAGACTTCACAAAAAGGACATGTCCACATCACTGTGGACAAAAAGTAGGAAAGCTTAAATCAGACAGGAGGAACTGAGCTACAGAAATTAGAGCACAAACATGCAATACAACACTATGCAGCCATTCAAAAGCATGCTGTTCTAGCCTTGGTTCAGAAAGATGTCCCTGCTACACAACGTAAAATGAAAAGATCAGGAAGTGACAAATAGTGAGTCTCACATCTATCTGCACAAACACCAGGGTTACTTCCTCATTATTCTGTTCATTAAGCACCTTTCACAGGGCTGCCAGCCGAGATGCAAGGAGCAGGAAACGGACTGCACCTCTTGAGGGGAAGCGGCAAAGTCACAGTGCAAAAGAGCACAGGGGATAGGAAATAAGTGTCAAGCCACATTTGGAAACAGTCTCCACACCTATGCTCTGCCAGTTAGCTTGAATTCAGCCCTTCACTTGGATGGATTCCACCATCTTTCTTTTTTGTACAAAGTTCAGAATACTCAGCTAGGCAATGGACGTACACAGAAAATTCAAATTTGAATTCTGAACTTTTAAAAAGTCCCAAATTGGCTGGGTGCGTTGGCTCACGCCTGTAATCCCAGCACTTTGGGAGGCCGAGGAGGGTGGATCAAGAGGTCAGGAGATCAAGACCATCCCGTTTAACACGGTGAAATCCCGTCTCTACTAAAAATACAAAAAATTAGTTGGGCATGGTGGCGGGCACCTGTAGTCCCAGCTACTCGGGAGGATGAGGCAGGAGAATGGCGTGAACCTGGGAGGCGGCGCTTGCAGTGAGCCGAGATTGCACCACTGCACTCCAGCCTGGGCGAGAGAGAGACTCTGTCTCAAAAAAAATAAAAAATAAATAAAAAGTCCCAAATCAAGACGGTATTGTCAAAATACCAGTTAGTAAGTTTCTAACCAACAGCAACAAAGTATTACTAACCAAATTGCTTCAGGCCTTCTTTAGCTCCCGCATGACATGAACCTACATGGGTTTCTGTATCCACATGCACTCCCGCACACACGCACACACACACACACAAACACATACACACAGTATGATACAGCACGGAAAATGTTCTGAGTCACTGGATGATGTGTTGTATTAGTTTGACTCCTTTGGTTAACAAGAACAAATGCTTTTAGGTGAAATTATCTCAAATAATGAAAACTGAACTGCAAGAACACAGGCAAAATAAAAGGGAAGACATACCGAAAGGGTATACTGTATGACAGAGCAAAGTAACAATGAAGAATCAAACAGAGATATACCCTAATGCAATTATTAGACTAGAAAAATAAAGAATTTTGGCAAAAACATCAAGTCAATTCAAAGGCAAAAAGAATCAGGCTAGTCTCAGATATCCCTCTAGTCTTCCATAGGGACAGTAAAGCAATACCTATAAGAAACATAAGGGAAAAAACGTGTAAGCCAAAGACTGTAAACATACTACACCATGTCACAGCCAGATGATCTTCAAATTTGCTTTGGGCTGGATGACTGGTAATACATCTGTTAAAATATGCAGGCCAAGCACAGTGGCTCATGCCTGTAATCCCAGCACGTTGGGAGGCCGAGGCAGGTGGATTACCTGAGGTCAGGAGTTCAAAACCAGCCTGGCCAACATGGTGAAACCCCATCTCTACTAAAAATACAAAAATTAGCCAGGCATGGTGGCACGTGCCTGTGGTTCCAGCTACTCGGGAGACCGAGGCAGGAGAATCGCTGGAACCCAGGAGGCAGAGGTTGTAGTGAGCCAAGATCACACCACTGCACTCCAGCCTGGCCCACAGAGCGAGACTCTGTCGGAAAAAAAAAGAAAAAAAAAAAAGCAATTAACTATTAAATAAGAAGTGACTGTGTATATGTATATGAAAGTGTTTCAAACTGAGGCATCCATAAGGAGTCATAGAAGGAACTAAGCTCTCCATTGACATTGAGCACTAGCTGAACCGTACCATGTTGCTTCAGATGAACATGAAAAACTTTAATGGCAGCTTGGTAAATAGTTAATAGGTATCTTTGAAATCCAATATTTTGAAACAAATCAAAACTACATTTAACATTTTTGATAATTTTGCTGGTTAGGCAAGTTTTTCCATTTATTAGACTCTTTCAATAAACATATTAAAGATCTTTTATAAAGCCACAAAAGACATTCATAAAATTAAAATTTTATGAACAAAGTTATTCATCCCAATATCATTTATATAGCAAAACAGTTAAGATACAAAGTCTTCACCAGAAGTATCAAGTGAACCATGACAGATCCATTATGCAGTCTGTAACATTACTAGTTTTCTTTTAAATTCAGAGAATGATTGTTATAAAGAGTAAAAAAAAAAGCAATATACAAAAGTTTGCACAGAAAAATAGCTGGAAAGAAATTCACAGCTTACAAGAGTTACCTTTGAGAGACGAATGCACAGATAATTTTTCTTCTTTACACATTTTTTTCCCAGTTCCTATACTGAACGCATATTTTTATTTTTTAAAAAAGAAGGTACACACTTACCCTGATGAACTCGTTCCAGAAATTTCACTAGGAGAAGAATGACTCAGTGGTGACGTGGAAGGTCTGAAGCTCTCCTGCTCATCCTCTGAGCCACGTCCACCATGCTCAGGAGAGGTATTTTTCAAATCTATCAGAAAGGGGTATTTTCCAGTAAGAAGAGAAAATAAACTTTGTAATTTTATGAATGTGACCAACGACTCAGACACTTACCACTATTTTTAGGTGAGACTATGCGATGGTTTTCAAAAGTCACATGCTTCTCACTGTTGCTTATTTCACTGACACACTCATTTTGCCTCTGATTTTCTCTGTTATCTCGTATTTCTTCACAGTCTTTTAACAGACAAAGGGATGTTATTCTGGGGTTCCTCACTGATGAATAACTATCAGATGGAGTGGAAATTGAGGTAGCTTTTTCATCGTTACCAACATCTTGTAATTTGTTGTCAATGGAACATGTCTTCACATCAACTACTGCACTGTTATTCTCTCTATTTGTAACTGAATTTGAGGAGTTTATGGTTCTAAATGACTCTTGATTCTCACTCTCTCCATTTTCAACATAAACAATAGCTGCTGTGTTTTCTTCTGGTGCCCTCACACTTACACTAGTAGCACTTAAGTCCACCGGATGAATGTCTTGAGTAGTTTGTTCTTTGGGCAAAGATAAATCCCAAGTATCAGACATACTAGCCCTTGAAAAGTTTTCCAATGCACTTTCATATCTACTAACTTCTGTTTTTTTAAGGTATTTCTCCATATCAAGTGCATTGGATCCATTACTTTTTTCTAAATCATTAGGTAAGAAATGACGCACATGAGAATAGTCCTTTTGTTTCTCATCTTCCTGAAAAGTCTTGTCTCTGGTTTTATTTGAAAGTGCCTTGATCATTGCAGCAAGTTGGGAAGGATCAGTATTAACTGATGCCTCTGCAATGGCTGAAGCAATGGTGCTGATCCTAAGCATAGAATCACCACTATCTGGTAGCTTGTCTTTGTATCTTTGGGGTTTGTTGCTCATGAAGAAAGTGTCCTAGAAGTGAGAAAATTAAACATCAGATAAATTTACCCCAGTTTCATGAACATTCATTAGTCCCCCATTATCATTGGGAGATGCGTTTCAAAACCTCCAAGTGGATACCTGAAACCTCAGATAGTACCAAATCCGACTGCCATAAATCAGAGCATGTTTCTGTTCCTATCTTCCCCACCCACAAATGTAGTGCCTTTTCCATCTTAACTAAGCACTTATCACTCACTGTGGCTGGAACGTTTGAAGTTTGGAGTGCAAAGCATGAATTTCTCTGTCCTTCTTTGTAATTACACATAAAAAAGATCATTCTTACCACAGACCTCAGAAACTTCAGCATTATTTTTTCTTTCCTTATTAAGTCGAGAACCTTCCTCTTTTCACTTGAAGGAAGCACTTGATAGCTCCTCTCTGGTGTATCCAAATTGCAGGCAACACTACTCTTGCACTTTGGGGCCATTACGAAATAAGAGTGACTTTAACACAAGCACTGCAACATCCCTAGAGTCGATCTGATCACCAAACACTACTAAGTGACTAACGGGCAACAAGTGAAGACGGGTGGAGAAGCTGGACAAAAGAAAGACTCACATCCTACCAGGATGGAGCAAATTGGTGGGAAGATTTCATCACGCTACTAAGAAAGACATATAATTTAAAACTTATGAACTATTTCTGGAATTTTCCACTGAATATTTTTGCACCTCAGTTGACCATGGGTAACTAAAACTGAAGGAGGCAAAACTGTGGAAAAGAGCAGGCTACTGTATTAGTTTGATCTTTATAAGCATGATGTAGGATCTAATGGCAACAAAAAAATTAAGGGCATACCAGTTAAATATCCTAATGAAAAAGACAGCTGCTATCAACTTTAATTATATAGTACCAGGTTATTTACAAAATTGATTATCATTTGTTTTTTAAAAATCATCAGGAATGAAAGACATGGTAAAATTGAATCAGATAATAATTTAAAACCAAAAACTTAAGATATTGAGATTGAAAAGCCACTGAGTCATTGTGATTGCAAGTATAATTCTTGGTAATTTCATTCAACTGTTAGAATTACTTATAAGAAAGACATAAATAGGAACCATGAGTAAAAAACTGAAATAGGCCCAACAGTTAAGAAACATAAACTATTTAACAACAACAACAACAAAAAATACATGTTAAGACTTCTGCCTCCAGTAACAGCAGACTAGGTAAAGCAAACCAACCTCTCGCTAAGAACAATTAGAACTGAATAGCATACTCAAAAACTTATCTTTGAAAGCACCAGCAAGCTTAAAAAGCAGTGTAAATTTATGGGGCCAAAATCTAAGAGAAGAAAGTAACCCAGAGAGGTAAGCCCAACACTGGGGATGCTGTTCCCTAAGCATATCTGCTGCTTCAAGAAAAGGCTAAGCAAAGTTGTTCTTGTGGGAGTGCAGGTATAAAAACTGAATCTGCCAATGAATGACTGGCATTGGGGGGTTAGGAGGTGTGTGTGTGTGTGTGTATGTTTGAGGGAGAGAAAGATACCACAGTAAAACATCCATGCTTTGGGATGAGACCACAAAGGGATACACCCCAGCAGTAAAGGTAAACCAGCATCCAACTGGTTCTCATAAGGATGAGGCTCAGCTCCAATCAGCTCAATTCCAATAAACGAATGAAAGTGATCTGCAATTGCCAGTGTTCCTTGCTCCCTGTCAGAAGCAGACATAAATCCAGTCTGGAAGATATCATCTCCCTTAGCCTCAAATTATTTCAACGATTTTTCCTCTAAACTGTAGGGTAAAACAAAAGCTACCCAACCACATCACAGTAAGATGGATAAAAACCAAAGAGAAAAATAACAAAAGACTGACAGCCAACTTTTAAAATGAAATGACATGAAAAAATACATTCAAAGTGCTAAAAGTTGCTGCTAACAATTCTATAGCAAGCAAAAATACATATCAAGAGTAACAGGGAGATAAAGACATTGTAGAGAGACAACAAACAAAATTCATTATCAGCAGTCCCTTACAAAAAAAAAAAAAAAAAAGTAAGGATATTCTTTAAGAAGAAAACTAATCTCAGATGAAAGATCAGAAATACTGGTTATTTATAAATCATCATCATGTCTTATTGGGTTAAATATAGAAATAAAACATAAAACAAGAAAAGCTTTTTAAGTATGGAGTAAATTGAGTATTTTGTGATCCTTGGAATGCCAAATAAGACATTTAAAAGAAAACAAAGAATTTTTACTAAACATCAGTAAGCCAAGAGACAGGTTATAATTATTTGGGTAATCATTAAAATAATATAAATATATATAATTACCAAATCAACAGAGGAGAAAATTGGAATCATATAAAACTCTTAAACGATCTCTAAGAATGCCAAAAGAAAAAGAACAAAGTCTAGGTGAAACAAATAAAAAGCAAATAAAGTGGGCAGATTCAAACCCCCATGCTGGAAATTCCATTAAGTGTAAGTAGAAAGACTGTGATATAGTTGGATGCCCCTCCAAATCTTATGTTGAGATGTAATCCCCAGTGTTGGAGGTGAGGCCAGGTGGGAGGTGTTTGGGTCATAGCGGTGAACCCCTCATGGCTTGGTGTTATCTTGCGGTAGTGAGTGAGCTCTCCTAAGACCTGGTTGTTTGAAGTGTGTGGCACCTTCCCCATCCCTGCTTTGGCCATGTGACATGCCTGCTCCCGCTTCGCCTTCTGCCATGATTGCAAGCTTCCTGAGGCCCCCCCAGAAGCCAAGCAGATGCCCACACCACACTTCCTATACAGCCTGCAGAACTATGGGCCCGTTAAACCTCTTTTCTTTATAAATTACCCAGTCTCAGGTATTTCTTGATAGCAATGCAAGAAACAGGCTAATACAGACTGTCAGACTGGTTGAAAAGCAAAATCCAACAGTATGTCCCTATAACATCTGAAATATAAAGATACAGAAAGATTAAAAGTAAAATAATGGCAAAAAATATAACATGCTAACACTAACCAAAGAAAGCTGGTATTGACATTGTTAATCTCAGACTAGATTTAGGAAAAAAGCATTACTACACACTGAGGAGAGACATGCTCAATAAAGGATTTGATTTGTTAGCAAGAACAATTTTTATGCACCAAAACAATTTTATGAAGAATTTAATGCAACAAATTTTATGCACAATTTGTATGCACCTAAAAATATAGCTTCAAATGTTTAAAGCAAATGTTGATATACCTATAATGATTAACAAACCCACAATCATGGTGGGAGATTTTAAAACAGCACAATAATTTTAAGAATGCAGGCAGCTTGAGCATTCCGATTTAAATCTCACCTAAGTGAAGCAGACATTAAGTCACATAACAGACATTCCCTACAAGCGTACAGAAAATATTTTCAAAAATTGAACAAATGCTGAGCTATGTATCATATTTAAACAAATTTCAAAGGCCTAAAACTAAAAATTCTCTGACTACAGTACATTTGGCCTAAATCAATTATTTCAAAAACCAGAAAATCTCCTACACGTATCCCATGCACTTACACCGCTGAAAAAGCAGGAAGGCAGAAAAATAAGCACACTAAGCATCCATCTCAAAAAGTTAGAAAAACAACACATTAAATCCATAGAAAGTAGAAGGAAAGAAATGAAGACCAGAAAATAGGAAATAGAAAGACAAACAGAATTGAGAATAAATAAAATTGTCAAATTAACAAAATTGAAAGTATCTGGTGAGATTAAGAAAAAGAGAGGGAAAACAGTCAATTATAGAATGAACAAAAGAGACATAGCTTAACAACCTAAGATATTAATCACAAGAGGATATTATGGTCAGCATGATAGTAAAATAAATTTTCAAGTGTAGAGGAAGATTACAATCTAAATTACAATGTACTAAAACTGACATAAAAAATTAAAACATCAGAATAGTACTACAACTATTAAAGAAATTGAATCTGCAAGTAAAGGCATTAGATAAAGAATATACCAGACTCAGGTGATTTCACCAATGTATTCTACCAAAATCTTTAAAAAAGCACCAATCTTACAAAAACTCTTCCTGAAAACAGAAAAAATGAGACCAGTAAAACCTTGATACCAAAACCAGACAAGAACATTATAAGAAAGAGCATTCATCTCACTCACAAAAATGCAAAATTCTAAGCAAACTATTAGCACACGCCAAATCCAATGATATATCAAAAGATAACACATTACAACCCTAGTGAGGTTTATTTCAAGTATAAAAGAATAGTTTAATATTCAAAAATCATTTGACAAAATTCATCACATCAACAAAACAGAGCAAGCTCATGTTCTTAACAGATCTAGAGAAGCACTCGGCAAGATTCAATCCTCTTACAAGGTGAAAACCAAATCCAAAACAGAACAAAAAACTAGTGAACAAAGATTAGAAGACCACGTTGTTGATCCAGTAATTTAAAACAAAACAAAACAAAAACCTTACACCATGCATCAAATTGAAAGATGAAATACCAAAAAGAGTTCCCAATGAATGAGGGAAACCCAACATCATGACATCAATACTCTTTTGAGGTCCATCCAGTCAAGGAAGGCAAGACAAAGAAACAAAGGTATAAAAATTAAAAATGAAGAAATAAAACTTTTATTCTCAGATGACAAAACTATGTATGCAGGAAATCCAAAGAGTTGATAGATAATTAGAGTTAATAAGTAAATTTGCTGGATATAAGGTGAGTATATTTAAAAAACAAATACAATTGTGTATTTGTTTAGCCAAAACAAACAGAAAATAAAGTTAAGAAACATAATATTAATGTTTCATTTGATAGCACAACAGGGTCAAAATAATTTAATTGTACATTTACAAATAACTAAGAGTATATAATTGGATTGTTCATAACACAGAGGATAAATGCTTGAGGGGATGGATACCCCACTTCCCATGATGTGATTATTACACATTGCATGCCTGTACCAAAACATCTCATGTACCCCATAAATATATACAACTACTATGTACCCACAAAAATTAAAAATAAAAGTTTCAACAACTTAGGAAGAAATCTAACAAGATGATGTGAAAAATCTGCACAAAACTCATAAAATACAAAGGGAAATTAAAACATATAAATGAAGTGATATGTTAGTTTCACGGATTAGAAGACTCAATATTATAAAGATGTCAATTTTACTGCTCCATAAATTAAATTTAATCCCCAAAAAAGTCCAACAGGGTTGTTGGTGGTTAGTGGTTGGTGTGTAGAAGCTGACCATGTGACTGTAAAGCACACATGGAAATATAAAGGGCCAAGAATAGCCAAGATACTTTTAAAGAAAAATACAAGAGGATTTACTCTTCCAGATATCAAGACTTATTATAATAAAGTTACAATATTCAAGTGTCATCTTGACACAAGATAGATAAACAGACCGAAGAAGCACAAGAGAGACTCTAGAAATATACCCACGATGTCATGGTATTTGATTTATGACAAAGTTAGCACATTAGAGAAATAATGAAAGCATGGCCTAATCAACAAATAAAAATACCATTAAAAAAGTGAAAAGGCAAGCCACAGACTGGGAGAAGACACATGGAACACTCATAACTGACAAAAGGCTCCTATCCAATGTAAACAACACCTACAAATCAAATAAAACGAACTGTCCATTGGAAAAATGAGCAACAGACTTGGACAGCACTTCATAAAATAAGCCTCCTAATGACCAGCAAACATGAGCAAGAACCAGCTTTATTAGTAATCAGGGAAATGTACATGAAGACAAGAAGACCCCACTGTACACCCACCAGAATAACGAGTAATGCCAGGTGCTGGCGAGGACATGCGGTGACAGGAAGCACACACTCTTGAACAAATCTACATGGTACAACCACTCTGGAAAACTGTCAAAACCACTGAAATGAAAGTATGCAAACCCTACGACATACACACCTCATATGAACGTTTGCACACTTCCCAGGTACTAGGCTGTTCATGGAGCATTGTTTTATAATTGTCCAGCAGTGGAAATATCCCAAATTTCATCAACAATACAAATGGATATAAAAGCAATAGAATATTCATATAACAGAATACCATACAGTAATAAAAATAAGTTTATATTATACTCATCTAACAAATGTAAGGTGAGGTGAAAAAAGCCAAAGAAAAGGAATACATGCCACATGGTTTCTTTTAAGTGAAGTTTAGAATCAGATAAAATTAATACAGGGTTAAAGGTCAGGTAACTGGAGGCGGCAAAAAAACTTGTTTCTGAGCTGTTGGCAATGTTCTCTTTCTTGATCTGAGGTATACACAAGTGTATGACTTGTGATAATTCATTCATTGACTACAAATCTGTTTTATAAACTCATCTGTGTGTATATTATATCGCCACAAAAACTTAAAAAGAAAAATTTAAAGGACACTTGCAAGAAATCTGAAGCCAGGAAAGAAAAGATGTTAAACGGCATAAATTTTTCACAGGTGATCTCGTCTTGATCCTAGATAAGAACTACAACAAGATAATCTTAGATTTCCTTACGAAAGGCTGAAGCTACCTCTGTTTTGCCTTTATCAGCCGTTAACGTCACATCATTTTCATCCACTTGTGAAGTACTCTCTACTGCTTCAACCTGAAGTGTAATTGATCCTTCACTTAGCTGTGCCTGGGACTGTTCATTTAAATCTCCTGCAGGAAATATATAATATTCAACTTATAAGTATACACTATTTGACAAACACAGTCTGTGGAATAAGGACCAGGCAAAATGACTAATTTACCAAGGAAGATGTCTTTGTACCCCAAATGTCAGTTGCCTTCACTATAATGGTTTAAACGTATAGTCACTTGGACAGAGAACAACAACATAGTTAATTTGGCTCAATGCTGCAGAGTCCAAACTTTGAAGGAGGATTGTGGATTTTAATCTTTCCCTTGCAAATACACACATAAACTCATTCAATATTTTTCAGCTTGAAACATTTCACAAACATACAATAAGTTGAATTTAAAACTGAGTACTTCTTGGTCGGGTGCGGTGGCTCATGCCTGTGATCCCAGCACTTTGGGAGTCTGAGGTGGGCGGATCACTTGAGGTCAGGAGTTTGAGACCAGCCTGGCCAACATGGGGAAACCTTATCTCTACCAAAAATACAAAAAATTAGCTGAGCATGGTGGCGTGAGCCCGTGATTCCAGCTACTCGGGAGGCTGAGGTGGGAGAATCGCTTGACCCAGGAGGTGGAGATTGCAGTGAGCCGAGATCACGCCACTGTGTGACAGAGAGAGACTCTGTCTCAAAAAAAAAAAAAAGAGACTGTCTCAAAAAAAAAGAGAAGAAAAGAAAGAAATAAGTGGGTGCATCTTTAGAGAAATGGAAAATGAGCTGACTCTGTATACATGGACCCTTTGTCCCAACTCCCCTACTAGAATACAGGCTCTTTAAGGAATGCAGCATATCTTATACAACTTTATATGATATGTAGCACAAGACATTGTACTAACAAAAAGTAGCTGCATGATAATTCCAAGCTGACCAAGAATATTTGATTAAAAATATTATATTTATCATAAAAATTATCATAGATTATCATAGTCTAAATCTCAAAACATCTCTTTAAAAGTCATCCTAAATAATAAATTATATCTACGATTAATTAACTCAATAATTCAATAGCCAACATTAACTAGCCCATCTGAAATTATTTCATTTACTGTGGTTTTTACAAATTTAGGTAGATTTTGGCTGACTTGTTTCCACTTTAGATTGAAAAGGATATATGGGGTTACATATGAATCAAATCTATAACCAACACTGAGAAACTACAAAGTGTTATATACATTTTCACTCATAAAGAACACGGTCACCCATTTAACCCCTAAGTTACGCATTTAAGAAAAAAAAGATTCCTAAAAGCCCCTTCATTGAATCCATTACCTGAATATAGATCATGGTTAAGATGAGCCATTTCTTTTTCCAAATTACCTCTTGATACATCAGATTTTCTTATTAAGGCAATAGGTTCTCTCTTCTCTGGTGATCTAATAAAATAGCCAAATGATGGCTACAAAATAATTAAAGGTAAATTATTTCTTTGATTTTCAACTGCTTTGAGAAATTCTAGACTGTTTTATCTAATAGTGGTAAAACAGCTAAATGACATCAAAAAACTGTTCTTCCCACTTAACCTCAAATTACTAGAGATGACCTTCAAAGGTCCAGGTAGAACCTTTCATTTCCTTAATACTAGCTACCTTTTAACCATTAGAACTCACATTGTCAAATAAATTGCCCTTACTAAGAAATTCAAATTAAAACAACAGAAATGAGGCCAAGCGCAGTGGCTCACACCTGCAGCAGATAAAAACTCCTGCTTCCTGGAAATTACAATATAAAGGTACTTTATTTTATAGAATAAACACATCCTTGAAAAATGTGTATTAAGATTAGGGACGCTCCTACCAATTTGCATGAAAGTTTCTGGAAGGTCTGCATTCAAGGAGCTTGCTAAAGGGTAGGCAGTTTCCACTTGTCTTTCTTATACAGCAGTCACATGACAGAACTAAAATGTGAACTCATTAAATACACTCAATTTTTTATTGGTCTTCACTTTCCCAAGTGATTAATTTATTAATTGTGATTAATATCTTAATTTCTTCCCTTGATTCAGTAACTTGAATGCAAATAAAACGTCATCACTTATACCACAACAAAAATTCCAAATAATAGATCCATTTTTTTCATGATCCAGTGCTTTGCCCACCTTATCTTTCCTTACTATAATTCCATTAATAAGGAATTCAGTTACTCTTCAACTTCTATGAATCAGCTGTGACTTCTAACACTACATCTGTTATTTCAAAATCATACTCTTAATGAAATCCAGTTTTGCTAAACAATCCCTCCAATAACCCTAATACCCTCTGTGGAATTTATCAACAAATTCTTTGACTCTATAGAATAAATCTTGAATTCTTGCCCTTTTCTCTGCTTCTACTAGGTCATCCTTGTCCCCAGCCTTCATCACATCTCTCCCATTTCCTAAGTGTTTGCCTGCTTCTTTCCCTCTTCTGTCTTTTGCTGACTTTCACTACCTGGGCACCTGACATATGGCGGCAGGCTGCTGCACCTGGAGATGGGCTGGCACCACAACAAAGTTGCCCTGTGCCTCTAAGCACTTCCTCCCAGTTCATCTGAGATAAAACCCCCCTCCTACCAGGAGCCCTCATGATTTGGCCCCTGGAATCATCTGCCATTCTCCCTTCATACCTGCCTACCCTGCTCCTCAGAGCAGCTCTGCCTGCCTGCTTTCCATTCCTCCAATATGCCACCCTGGTTCCTACCTCCAGGCCTGCACACAGACAAGGGCCAGGTCACTAATGGAGGGAAAAGTCTTATTTCTTCTCACAAGAAAAAAATCACTTTTTTTTTTTTTTTTGAGATGGAGTCTCGCTCTGTTGCCCAGGCTGGAGTGCAGTGGCGTGATCTCGGCTCACTGCAACTCTCCACCTCCTGGGTTCGAGCAATTCTCCTACTTCAGCCTCCCAAGTAGCTGGGATTACAGCCACGCACCACCATATCTGGCTAATTTTTTATAGTTTTGGTAGAGACAGGGCTTCACCATGTTGGCCGGTTGGTCTCGAACTCCTGACCTCAAGTGATCCGCCCACCTCAGCCTCCCAAAGTGCTGGGATTACAGGTGTGAGCCACTGCGCTGGCCCTGCTGCCTCCTTTTCATCACTGAGATGCCAACTCAATGTCTTCCACCAAATGTCAGCCTGACCAGCATAGCTAAAGTAGCTCCTTCTCCTCACTCATGCTTTACAGGACTTATCACTATCTGAATAACTTGTCTTTTTAATTGTACATGCATTACATTTAATTAAATCAAAACACTTCTATATTTCAAAACATCTCTTTAGACAATAGTTTTTAAAAAGCAATTTTAGAATTCTTCACACCAACCAACAATAACAACAGCAATGAACAACTATTAAATACTTATTACATGTTGGTTTAGTGCTAAATGCTTTACATGAACCGTCACATTTAAATCTTACAAAGCCCTATAAAACTGTGCTGTTAAGAAACGGGAAATTCAGGCACAGAGGAGTTAAATTGCTCAATGTCCCAGAATTAGCTAAAAGACAGAGCTAGAACTGCAGTAAAGGTCTGACTGATGATGAAACCTAAGTTTTTTACCACTCTTCTGTCCCATCCTATTCTATCTCCATTTTAAAGTCACTGTGCCATCATAATACTCAAAATCTAAAATCTGGTGACTGTGAGCACTTCCAACAGATTCCATACTTACTCTTTTCACATTGTTACCACCACCAAGGCAACCAAGAGCTTCAGATCTTTGAGCAAAGAACTCTCCTAAAGACAGACGTAAATAACTGGCATCATCTTTATCCAAATCTGATGTGCTACGTGATTTCCTCAACAGACTGTAATTAATTGTAGCTCCCCAGGACGTATCGCCCAGTGCAACCGAAGTATTATGAGCATCTATGTTTTCTTCCTAGGGAGAAAGTTATTGTTTCGTTTCTTTCCCCCAGCAAGTCACTTTTCTGTTGTTCTAATATACAAAAACTAAAAAAGTCTTACCAAGAAAATTTAAAAAGTAATTTTGAAAAACTAGACAAAAAAAAAATTGGACAAACTGAAGCATCATCAGCTACCACAGCTAATGAAGTCCAGAAAAGGAAAATGAGTATTTTTGAACACTTGAGTTATAATACACACGATCATGAGTTGCTCATGACAGCGCTTTCCTGTAATCCCAGCTACCTGGGAGGCCAAGATGGGAGACTCATGTGAGCCCAGGAGTTCAAGACCAGCCTGAGCAACATGGCGAGACCCCATCTGAAAAATAATAAGAAGAATGTTATCTTCATCTATTGCTTCATTAAACACTATCATAAATTTTGAATCTTCAAAATAAGATTGAAATAAGATTGTCATAAATAAGAATCTTCATAAAAAAACAAACAGGATTACCTCACTTTAAAACATATTTTAAAACTATAGAAATACAGCCCAGTACACTGGCTCACACCTGTAATCCCAGCACTTTGGGAGGCCAAGATGGAAGGATTGCTTGAACCCAGGAGTTCCAGACAAGTCTAGGCAACGTAACAAGCCTCCATCACTACAAAAAATAAAAAAATAGCTAGGCATGGTAGCACATGCCTGCAATCCCAGCTACACAGGAGGCTGAGACAGGAGGATCACTTGAGCCCAAAAGCTTGAGGCTGCAGTGAACTATGATCACCACTGCACTCCAGCCTGGGTGACACAGCAAGTCCTGTCTCAAAAAATAAAAATAAACTATGGAAATATCCATTAATGCCATTAAAGCAATTCTAAGTGAATTAAAGATATATTTCAGTATGTCAATGATCTTCAATTAATAATTTAGAGTATTTTATTTAGAGTATGAGGGAAAAAGCAGAAGTTGTCTAGCCATAAGAAAAATATGAAATAATTCTATACTAACCATATATTCAGAAAGAAATGAACACTGTGCCTACACTTACACTAATACAGGAAAAATTTTAAATTTTGGATAAAACAAATAATTACAAACCTGTATAAATTGATGCTCTTTATTAAATTCTTCTTCATCTTGTGCAATCAAATCAAATGCTTCAGCTTAAAAAAGAATGTTTATATAAATACATTACACTAATGCCTAAACAAACACTAGCACACAGATACAAGTTAGGAAAATGAAATACTAAGGAAATAAAGTTGTAACAAGTATGTAAAAGCTTGCACTCATGACTCATGCATCTGTATTAAATGCTTAAGTCTGTGGTTGTCAAACTTTTGCTAAAGAACACCTTGCTGTAGTTATTTTGTCACTAACGTACCCCAATTTACTCAGGGGCTTTACAATGAAAGCTTTTTCTCTCTAAAATTAATGTTTGCTTTGGAGAGTTTGGCACTCTTGCATTGAGGCACTCATCCATGAATGCTGGTGGAATTTCATCAGGAGTCATCAGACTGATAAGCCCTCTATAAGCTTGTCATGAAGATGGCTACAAGCGTGCCCCAGGACCGCTTGCCCCCCATCCCAGGAAACCCCGGTCCGGACAAAGACTGGGAGTCCCCTAATGTCTGCCCTCAAGGCTGCTGCCGAGCACCTCAGCCCTCCCTGGGAAAGGAACGCCAGCCTAAGCACACTCAACCTCAGGCCAAAGGCCATCACTAAAATGCCTCAGAGGGATGGGGCAAATGGGCAAAGAGGGCCAGGGCCAGAAACACAACTGGGAGTGGTGGATTTGTGGCAAACTAGGAGGCCCAAGACCCTGCTTGAGGCATCAGAATCGCCAAGAACTTTAAATGTGTTGGTGAAATGTATGCCAGCCAGATGCTAGACTGCCTGGCTGTAGCACTCTAGGCCTCTGCCTGGCACTGCAGGGTTGGAGCAGAAAGGAGAAAAGTGAATGGTGAGCCAGAGGGAACAGTCCACTCATGGCCCAAACATGACGGAGGCTCCCCACTATCATGTGTCCATGAGGGACCAATCAGATCCACACTGCTCCTTTGCGACCCTAGACTGTGTCCCACATTCACAACCTAAGACAAAAGAAAAGCAGACACAGGATATTTCTGTTCAGGAAAAGCAGAGCACCAAAGCCCACTGAGGCTTCCTACCTGTCAGAACAGTGCTAGTTCTTTACCTTGTTAAGTGACCATTTCTTATTAAAAAAAACAAACAAAACACTTTTTTTTTTTTTGAGACAAGGTCTGGCTCTGTTGCACAGGCTGGGGTGCAGTGGTACAATCTTGGCTCACTGCAACCTCTACCTCCTGGGCTCAAGCGATTCTCCTGCCTCAGCTTCCCCAAAAGCTGGGCCTACAAGCGTGTGCCACCACCCTCAGCTAATTTTTGTATTTTTTGCTAGAGATGGGGTTTTGCCATGTTGCCCATCCTGGTCTCAAACTCCTGGGCTCAAGCAATTCACTCACCTTGGCTTCCCAAACGGCTAGGATTACAGGCATAAGCCAAAATGCCCAGCCTAAGAAAAAACACATTCTTAACCTACAGCACAGAACCTAGGAATGAGCATCAGGAGAACCATGAAGCCCTCAAAATTACATGCAAAATCATACATTCCATATATTTCTATGAAGATTCATTGTGGAATCTATGACTCAAGCTAAGTTAAAAACCACTGCCCTAAAAGATGAAAGGAGCAACCAACCAAATCTGACAGCCAAGAGAAGGGAAGTAGGAAACTCGGCCCAAAAGAGGGTAATATGGTTTGGCTGTGTCTCCACCCAAATCTCAACTTGAATTGTTATCTCCCAGAATTCTCAAATGTTGTGGGAGGGACCCAGGGGGAGATAACTGAAACATGGAGGCCGGTCTTTCCCATGCTATTCTCATGATAGTGAATAAGTCTCACGAGATCTGATGGGTTTATCAGAGGTTTCCACTTTTGCTTCTTCCTCATTTTTTCTCTTGCTGCCGCCATGTAAGAGGTGCCTTTTGCCTCCCACCATGATTCTGAGGCTTCCCTAGCCACGTGGAACTGTAAGTCCAAGCAAACCTCTTTTTGTTCCCAGTTTCGGGTATGTCTTTATCAGCAGCATAAAAACAAACTAATACAGAAGGTAACCCAAAAGAAACTTAATTTACTTTGAGGAGTTAAATATCACCTGGTTTTTAAATAATTGACCGAACAGCTCAAAATAGGATTTATTATATTCCTAAATGCTTTTTCTCTGAACTATAAGGGATTCATCAAAGAAACATCTATATTAACACTGTTATCTTGTCTACTCATCAGAAATCAATCACAGCCAATAAGAAAGCAGAACTTCACTTTTTATGAGAATCTATGCCAATTCTTTGGCATACCTAAAACAACAATCCTCTTGTACTGAATGCTTCCGAGGCCAAACGTGGAAGCAGCCCATTTGTGTTTCCCCCACTGTCGAACTCTCAGGTCATAAGCGGCAGCAATGCAGCACCTTGAATAGATGGAGCTGAGCTGTCGGCAAGGAGGAAGGCAGGCATGGGGAAGAAGAGGAGGCAGGCTTTTTTTTTTTTTTTTTTATGAGACAGAGTTTTGCTCTGTCGCCTAGTCTGGAGGGCAGTGGTGCAATCTCGGCTCACTGCAAGCTCTGCCTTCTGGGTTCACGCCATTCTCCTGCCTCAGCCCCCTCCTGAGTAGCTGGGACTACAGGTGCCCACCACCACACCCAGCTAATTTTTTGTATTTTTTTTTTTTTTAGTAGAGACAGGGTTTCACCATGTTAGCCAGGATGGTCTCGATCTCCTGACCTGGTGATCCACCCACCTTGGCCTCCCAAAGTGCTGGGATTACAGGCGTAAGCCACTGCGCCCGGCCGAGGCAGGCTCTCTTAAGGAACTGTTCTGAATAAAGTTTATAAGTAGGCAAATTTTCATTTAAAATGACTTGGACGTTACAAGATTACACCCTTTTTTCCAACCTTCCTTTTCTGAATATCTCCTTTTATTACATTTTTAAAGTTCCTTTCTCCTTTTCAGTAAAAAGGCTCCCATTTCATTAATGCTACCTCCACCCCTATTTCCCTGGATCTAGTCCATCCTTCCCAGCACCCATCAGGTTTTCTGTCCACCAACCTTTTTAATAGCTTTCCATCTCCCCGTTTCCCTTTCCTCCCCACCCATGCTAGTCATCCTTTCCAACCAGACTAGTATTCATTCCCTAAGCACAAGGATGGTTTCATTCAATCTTTCCGTTATCATTTTTTATTTTTTAATAGTAATACATCTAATAATTCAAATTTAAAAGGTGTATTTATGACACCACAATAAAGAGCTTTTCAAAGTTAACCAAAGACTTACAAGGGTATATACTGAAAACTATCTCCCCATCCCTGACCCTAGTTTCCCACACCCCCAGAAGCAACCAACAGCTAAAATATTTCTGAAATGTCTATCTGAATTTTTGATTTCTGAGTTCAAGTAACTAGACATTCCTGTAGTCAGTATCTTGTTTTATCTTTCCATTGTATGTATTTACAAATATCTGTATGTACATCCTCCCCTCTCCTACCTTTCTACACAAATGTTAGAATACTTTATGTGCTTTGAGGTGGACTTTATCTTTAATTTATTCCAGTGATCATTCCATTTGAGTAACTAAAGAGCTCCTTTACCATTCTGTATAGCCACAGGGTACCTCCTTGTATGGATGCACCTTAATTTATACCCTATTTTGTCCATCTACATTGCTTCTAACGTTGTTATCACAGACAATGCTGCAAGTAATGAGCCTGCACATACACCATGTATCATTTATGCAAGTGTATCTGAAGAATAAATTCCCAGAAGCAGAACTGCTCGGTTACAGGATAGTACATGCGTAACTTTGCTAGATGCTGCAATGTCATTATAGGTAGACGCGGTGCCAAGAATGGACTAGCATACCTGTGTCCCTCACATCTTTGCTAAGACAGTTTTATCACCAAACTTTTGGATCACTACCAAGGAAATAACTGAAAAATACTATGACTGGGTGGATTTACACTGCATTTCTTTCCATGATTAAAAATGAACATTTTTTGTTGTACATTTAACGATCGTTTTTATTTCTTTTTCTATAAATTGTTTCCAATTTTGGGGTAGTTGGTCTTTTTCTTATTGTTTATTGGAACTGTTTATATATTAGGGGAATGGGCTTTAAACCTGTAATATGAATTGCAAATCTTTTATTCTCAGTTTGCTAATTTTTAAAAACTTTTTACGATAGAGAGGTGAAGTGTACAGCTCAAGGAATTTTCACAATCTGAACACATCTGCATAGCCAACAGCACAGATTAAGAAGCATAATACTGCCAGTACCCAAACCACCCGAGCCTGCTTCCCATGCTACCTGCCCATCCACATGTAGCCACTGCCCTGTGGCTGGCTCTGCAGGAGTGCATTGCCCAGCTGTATACAAATAGAACTATAGAGTGTGTGTTCTTAGTCAGCTTTACGTCATTCCACATGTTCCTGAGATTCATCCATGTTGTTGCATGTAACTTCACATCACTCATTCTCATTGCAACCTAATATTCCAGGGTATGAATAAACATAATCCATTCTATGGCTGAGGGAGGGGAGGGTGATTCTGCAGTGACTTGGAAACTTCCACTGCTAATGGGAATTTGAGAATTTGGGGCTGATACAACTAGTGCTGCTATAAACATTTTAGTATGTCTTTTGGTGAATACATACGCCCTATTCTGCTGCATATGTACTCAGGTGTACAATTATTAGGTCATTAAGTATGAAGTTCATAAAGTTCACCCTTACAAGACACTGCCAAACAGGTTTCCAAAATGGCTGTACCAATTTACACTCCCACCAGCAACACATGAGAATTCCATGATCTTTTAAGTGATAAATATCCACCATTCGGTCTGCATCATCATTTTTAGATCAAGATATCATTGAGCAAGTCCTAACCGCAACTCAGCTTCACACTTCTGACCCCTATTTCCACTAATGACTACTTCTGCCTCAAACCACAATCACCCAAAATCTACACTTTCTTCTGACTCCCCGCCTCAGGTAATGGTATCGCCATTGCCCCAAGTAACTCAGACCACAGACCCTCCTCTCTTCCTGCCTCTCTACTATCCCCTGAAATCCAGCCATCAAATCCTAACCATTTTACTTCTACGTCTTTCACTAGCTACTCTCTTCATTTTCACTGGGACATCTAGATTTCTACAACATCCTAAGAACTATCCCAAACAACCCTAACTACCAGGAGAAGATTCACCAAGCAAGTTCCACAAGCAACGAGTCCTGACGCTTTCCAGACAAGCCTCAATCTTGGGCATGGTGGTCAAAACTCAATCCACTCCCTGGCCCTAATGACCTCTCCAGCTTCACCTCCTAGCCTCCGGCCACTCTCCCTTTATCCTGCCATAAAGGCTGGCCACACTGGACCATGCACCTTCTCAAACATGCCCACACTTCACCATCTCATTCCTTTCCAACTGGGCTTTCTCTCCATTTGAAATTTCTCATGCCCCCAAAGGATTACCTGTGAAAACTCTACCTCAAAAGTGGCTTCCTATGTGAAATTCTTTTGCTACCTACTCGTGCAACATTTGTTTCTTCTCTAAATTCCAGTGCTTTTGGTTTGAGTTTCTCATGATGCCGATGACTGTGTACTGCATTCTTGTCTCATCATTCTGGGCTGATAAACAGTTTCTTAAGGACTGGCATACTACCTAATTTATTGCTGTAATTCCACATTACAAGACTTTCTTAAAGAAGCTTAGCACAAGCAGTAGATGGGATAACTTCTTCCTCTGGCGCAAGCCTATTAACAATAAGGCCAGGTGGCCGGGCGCGGTGGCTCACGCCTGTAATCCCAGCACTTTGGGAGGCCGAGGCGGGCAGATCACGAGGTCAGGAGATCGAGACCATCCCGGCTAAAACGGTGAAACCCCGTCTCTACTAAAAATACAAAAAATTAGCCGGGCGTAGTGGCAGGTGCCTGTAGTCCCAGCTACTTGGGAGGCTGAGGCAGGAGAATGGCGTGAACCCGGGAGGCGGAGCTTGCAGTGAGCCGAGATCCCGCCACTGCACTCCAGCCTGGGCGACAGAGCGAGACTCTGTCTCAAAAAAAAAAAAAAAAAAAAAACAACAATAAGGCCAGGCTTGACAGGCCCCTGAGCAGCGTGGCTCCTTCCAGTTACAGAAGAGCTCAGCCCTGAGGGTTGCAGCATAGCATCTTCACAGTCTCCAGCTCAAAATCTCGTGACCTGGCATTGTGTAGACCTAAACCAGTTTCTATATTCACTGTCGGGGATGATGCTAATCAACAACCTGTTTCTTTTCACGCTTTTATCCCTTGAGATTTCACTGTATTTTTGGTTACTTTTCTTCCATCATTTCTACCACACTTTCTACCTTTCATGGACTGGTTTTTGTAACTGCTGATTTATCAGGACATTTCCTTTGCTCAGGTCACAAATTTTAAAGGGACAAGCAAAACCTAAAGTCCCTTCCAGCCCTGCAATACTATGGGGTCTACACGGTAGTATACAAATGCTATTCTCACTCATTGGCTTTGCTTAAGGAAATGGCTTGGCTCATTCTACAATGATTAAGACTGGCTAACTAAAACCTTGGGTCCTATAAAAACAAGTGAAGTGCTTCCAGAATACAGTGATAGTCCAGAAGGGATCTGATGTGGCTGACCAACATATACACAGTAATCTTAGAAAGATCAGAAACAGTGAAAATGTTATAATAAATGTTTATCCATATACTTACAACCAGATCTGAAGTCTTCATTCATCTCATCACTTAGAGACACATTTAAATTTTGTTTGCTATTAAAAGATGTGTAATAGGCAAGGTCTGTGACCCACCTACCCTCTTCATTTTGATAGACCACACTCTGTGGGAGATCTGTTTCTAAAAAATAAAATTCCCAAAATATCAAATGACACATGTAACAACTAAAATGACAAAACATTCTCAATTTTTTTTAAATTCAGATGACTACCTTAGTTATCAACAGTACTGAAGTTTGCCAAAGCTAGTTAGAAAAAGGAAAACCCATTTCCCCAAAAGAAAAGTATCTCTTTGATAGAAAGCAAGCCAGCCTTACTCACAAAAAAGTCTATAATGGAGAATGAGGAATAAAGAAAGAATGCTAAGAGTTAGCTAGAAAGGTACATTTTCACTAGATCTGTGAGAAAAGATACCATTTCTGAGCAATCCTCCCTGTACAAGTAGATTTAAAATTTTGTTTAAACTATAAAACACTAAAATATTTCAACAGGAAAGACTGGCACATTTCACATGAAAATATGTCCTATTCAAAATGTATGAACATCTATTTCTTTCACTCTATTTTTTAAAAAGTCCACTTACTGTCTTTATTCTTTTCGATGGACTCGTGACATTCACATGTTCGCCTTTCACAAGTTGGTGACCAAATGGCATCAGTGAAATTAATTCCACTGTCACTAATGGGCTTCAAAGAGGCTACATCCACATTTTCTTGAATGGACACCGTAGGAGTCTCAGTGTCTAAACATCCATCCATGTGCAAAACTGTCTTATTTTGGTGAGGACACTCTGCCCCCTGTTTTACAGGGTCAGTCAGATCAAAACCACCTCTATTGGCATTTGCATCATGAAAATTATCAGAGTTAAGTTTCACATCAATAGCCCTGAGGGTCTTCACCAGAACATCTTTACTTGCACATTCCTTTAAAACAAAAAATCAGATTTTTTAACAGAGCAACAGTAAGTCTTGTTTTTTATAACTTATTTTAAAATTTATGGGAAAAATTATATAGTTGATATAAAATGTTTATTATATGAAAGAAGAGAACACACAGTATTCGCTGTATTCTAGACTATATGTGAATATATGAACCAATGATAAGCAACTTACCAAAACCAGACTTTGTGATGTGGTCATAGGAAACACATCAAGAGATTTACATACCAAAAGTGAGCTCTGTGTGTGCATTACATTACAGGATGATAGAAATGTTGTCAGCCCAACTTTTATCATTACCAATAAAAGTCTCCACAAACATGGTAAGCCTATTAGTGTGACTAGCCTCATAAAATTAATATGGATAAACAGCCCTAGATATTAATATCTTTTAATAGGAGTAAGGCAGTTTATACTACAAATGGCCCTGGCCAGTCCAGTAAAATTTGTATCAGACACAGCAAATTAATCCAGTGCCTTCAAACTATGCTCTCCAAAACATTTTTCCAAGTGGCACTTCTTATTCCTTCCTAAAATAACAACTGCTGAAAAGGGGCTCAAGTGTCTTCAGTACTGTTAGTGGACATTTGGCTGCCACCATGGTATCACATGCCAATGAAACTTATTAACAGCAGTCCTTTCTGCTATAGTAAGACAAGCAATAAGAACAACCTGGTAAGGCACAGTTTCTGAAAGTTACAACACTAAAAGGAGGTCGTTCTAAATAAATGATAACTTTCGAATAAGAAAGACATAGGTTCAAATCCTAGTGCCACCATTTATTAACTGGGTGCTTTGCCAACATTATTATATAAAAATAAACATCAAGGCCAGGCGCAGTAGCTCACACCTGTAATCCCAGCACTTTGGGAGGCCGAGGCGGACGGATCACCTGAGGTCAGGGGTTCGAGACCACCCTGGCCAACATGGTGAAACCCCATCTCTACTAAAAATACAAAAATTAGCCGGGCGTGGTGGCGGGCACCTGTAATCCCAGCTACTCGGGAGGCTGAGGCAAGAGAATCACTTGAACCTGGGAGGCGGAGGTTGCAGTGAGCCAAGAACCCGCCATTGCACTCCAGCCTGGGGGACAAGAGTGAGACTTCGTCTCAAAAATAAATAAATAAAATAAATAAACAAACATCAAAATAAATTCCAGATGACTTAAAGATTTAGATATAAGAGTACTAGGAAAAAATACAGATGATTGTCTTATATTCTTCAGTGGATAACATCTTCTAAGTGTAACACTCTGATGTCTTGAATTGTTTCCCCTCAAAAAGATATATCCAAGTCCTAAGCCTGGTAACTATAAATTGCGATATTATTCTGAAACAAGGTCTTTACGGATGTAATTAACTTAAGGATCTTGAGATAAGACCATCCTGGATTTAGGGACCCTAATCACAATGACCAATGTCTGTATCACAGACAAGAGAAGAAAATTTTAGACAAAGACACAGAGGACAAGGCCACGTGAACACACAGAGAGAGATGTGAGTGCTGCTGCTACAAGCCAAGGAACACCAGGAGCCAGCAGAAGCCGGGAGAACCAGGAAGGATTCTCCTCTAAGAGCCTTAGGAGGGAGAATCACCCTGCTAACACCTTGATTTCAGACTTTTGGCCTCCATAACTGTGAGGAAATAAATTTCTGTTGTTTTAGGCATGCCTGTGGTAATTTGCTCTGGCAACCTAGGAAGCTCATACACACATTAAAGCCTAAAACATATAAAGATCAATATATTTCCATAACATAAAAACCTTACAAAATTAAGTTAAAATACAAATACCCCAATAGAAAAAAAAAAGTCAAATAAAACAAGATAACTGCTTTTCATATACAACACTTGCAAAGATTAAAAAGAAACATAATGTGGAAAACTGGCTGTCTCATCCATAAAGCAACTTAATCTTGAACAAAGAAGGCAGTTACAACTTCGAGCTTCCAGTTCTGAGTATAAAGGGCTTGGAAGTCGCCACTCCATCCCGACAACAAGTAAAAAGATGAACAAACTGACAAATCAACAACTCTTCTTAGATCCCTAAGAGAAGGTAACAGGATAAACTGGGGCCTCTAAAACTGGAGAGACAGGCAAATACAGAGCATCCTAACATACCAGGGGATATACTCCCAAGCAGAAACCTCCACAGTAACCAGCAGAGAAGGAATACCTGACATGTAACTGGTGAATTGCTGCAGGCTCAGTGTGGAAAAGTCTGAGAGTTAAAAACTCCAGAGGATCCAGTCATAGGTGGGCCCCATGCTTTTGTGAGTTTTACTTGCAGCACAACCAAGTTCTCACAGCAAATAATGGAGAAAAATCCCCTTGGGCTTCCAGTATGGGGAGGAGAAAGGGGTAATTTTGAAATATAACAGGGCACTTTGTTCTTAGAAAAAACAAGAACAAACCTCAAGAAAACCTAACCTGCTGGGGTTTTATCTGAGCCTAAGTAGCCTGGGGAAAGTTAAATACCCAACTCCAGCTCCCTCTAGCCACCCTGTCCATCCTAAGGGGAGGAAAAAACTGAGAAACACTTGTGGAGTGCACAGTCTAAAGACACAGGCTCACTTAAAGACTGAGACTGAATCACAGCATTATGGAATGCTTTCCCTCCCCAACACCTTACCACAACATAATGAAAGGCCTATTTACAGTAGTTCTTTTACTTGGTACATCACGTCCAGCTAACAAGAAAAAATTAAAAGGCATACTAAAAGGCAAAAAAAACAGTTTGAAGAGACAAGGCAAGCATCAGAACCAGCAGAACCAGATATGGCAGGGATGTTGGTATACTCAGGCCAGAAATCAAAAACAATTATGATGAATATTCTAAGGGCTCTAATGGATACAGCAGACAACATGAAAGAACAGAGTGGCAATGTAAACAGAGAAATGGAACTTATGAGAAAGAATCAGAAAGAAATGCCAGAGGTCAAAAACTGTAACACGTGAGGAATGTCTACGCTGGGCTCATTGGTAGACTGGACACAGCACAGGAAAGATACTCTGAGCTCCAGGATATGCCAATGGACTTCTAAAACTGAATGCAAAGACAACAATGAATGAAAAAAACAATCTCAAAAAACTGCAGGACAACTACAAAATGTATAACATATGCATAACAGAGATATCAAAAAGAGAAGACAAACAGAAAGCAACAGAATATTTGCAACAATAATGACTGAGAATTTCCCCAAACTAATTCAGACAATAAGCCACATACCGGGAAGCTCACAGAACTCCAAATAAGATAAAGGCATACTGCAATAGGGCTGTACTTGGAAAAAAATAAATAAAAACCAAAACCAATACTTCACCTAAGCATATCATTTCAAACTACAGAAAATCAAAGATAAAGAAAAAATCCTAAAGAAACCAGAGAGGAAAAAAATCACCTTGCTCACAGAGAACAAAGAGCGACATTTGGCTTCTCCTCAGAAACCATGCCAAGCAAGAAGGCAGTGAAGTAAACTACTTTAAAGAGTTGAAAGAAAGAAACCATCAATTTCTAATTCTGTACCCTAAGAAATTATCCTTCAAACATGAAAGGGAAATACCTTCTCAGACAAGCAAAAATTGAAGGCATTTGTTGCCAGCAGACCTGCCTTGCAAGAAATTTTTTAAAAAGTTATTTTGAGAGAAGATAAATATATAGGTCAGAATCTTAAATCTACAAAGAAAGGAAGAGCATCAAAGACAGAATAAGTAAAGGTAAAACAAACATTTTATTTTTCTAATTTTTAACTGGTCTAATAACATTGTTCAGAAAAATAATGGCAACAATGTATTCAATTATGTATGCTTACGTGTATGTATACATAGGTGAGGGTGTGTGTCTATATACAGACACACATATATGCTTATATTTACTTATATGTAAGTGAAATGAATGATAGCAATGATACAAGGAATGGGAGGGAAGAATTAGGAATATTTTGTTATTATCATTACTCAAACTACCTGTTAAGCAGTGTAATGTTATCTGAAAGTGAATATGGATTAATTTTAAATATATACTGCAAACTCTAGAGCAACCACTAAAAAAAGTGGGACAAAAAAGAATTATATCTGATATGCTAACAAAGAGAAAATGGAATCATATAAAATGCTGAATTAAGACCACAAAGAGACCAGGCACAGTGGCTGGCCCCTGTAATCCCAGCACTTCAGGAGGCCAAGGTGGGAGAATCACTTGAGGCCAGGAGCTCAAGACCAGACTGGGCAACATAGCAAGACCCTAGCTCTACAAAGAATTTAAAAGTTAGCCAGGTGTAGTGACATGTGCCTGTTGTCCCAACTGCTCAGAAGGCTGAGGCAGGAGGATCGCTTGAGCTTAGCAGTTCGAGGCTGTAGTGAGCTATAATCCTGCCACTGCACTCCATTCTGGGCAACATAGAGACCCTGTCTCAAAATAGTAATAATAATAATAATAATATTCTTAAAATAAAACCACAAAGAGAAGAATAAGACTGAAAGAAAAAAATAGGGGAAAAAAACAAGAACAACATGGCAGACATTAATCCAACTATATCAATTAATCACTTTCAAAGTCAATGGTCTAAATACACCAACTGGCTGGGTGCAGTGGGTCACGCCTGTAATTCCAGCACTTTGGGAGGCCAAGGCGGGTGGATCACTTGAGGTCAGGAGTTCGAGACCAGCCTGGCCAACGTGGTGAAACTCCATCTCTACTAAAAATACAAAAAAATTAGCCAGGTGGGGTGGCGCACAATTGTAATCCCAGCTACTTGGGAGGCTGAGGCAGGAGAATTGCTTGAACTCAGGAGGTGGAGGTCGCAGATAGCTGAGATCGCACCACTGCACTAGAGCCTGGGCAACAGAGCGAGACTCGGTCTCAAAAAAATAAATGAATAAAAATAAATAGGCCAGGCACGGTGGCTCATGCCTGTAATCCCAGCACTTTGGGAGGCCAAGGCGGGTGGATCATGAGGTCAGGAGATCAAGACCATCCTGGCCAACATGGTGAAACCCCGTCTCCACTAAAAATACAAAAATTAGCTGGGCATGGTGGTGCATGCCTGTAATTCTAGCTACTCGGGAGGCTGAGGCAGGAGAATCAATTGAACCAGGGAGTCAGAGGTTGCAGTGAGCCGAGATTGCACCACTGCATTCCAGCCTGGCAACAGAGCAAGACTCCACCTCAAAAAATAAATAAATAAATAAACAAACAAACACACCAACTGAAAGAGATTTTCAGAGGAGAATCAAAAAACAAGACCTAAGTATATGACGTCTACAAGAAACCAACATGTAGATTAAAAGTAAATGGATGGAGAAAGATATACCATTAAAACACTAGTCAAAAGAAAGCAGGAATAGCTATATTACTTTCAGACAGAGCAGACTTCAAAGTAGGGAAAGTTATCAGAGATAAGGCAGGGTACTACATAATGATATAGAGGAATCAATTCTCTAGGAAGACATAACCATCCTTAACGTGTATACACCTTACAAGACAGCATCAAAATACAGGTAGTAAAAACTAATAGAACTACAAAGAGAAATAGATGAACCAACTATCATAACTGGTGACCTCAACACTCCTCTATCAGAAACAGATCCAGCGAGAAGAAATTCAATAACAACACAGTTGAACTCAACACTAACAATCAACTAGATATAATGGACATCTATGGAATACTTCACCCAAAAACTGCAGAATACACATTCTTCTTATCAGAAAAAAACTCACGAAATAGATACAATTTGAGTAGGCCCCTATCTGATAAAGAAATTAAGGCAATAATGAATAACCTTCCAAAATAGAATGCACCATGCCCAGATAGGTTCAACAGTGAATTCCACCAAACAAGGAAAACATTATACTAATTCTCTACAACCTTTTTCAGAAAATAGCAGAGGGAATACTTACTAACAGATTCTATGAAGTCAGCATCAACCTAATACCCAAACTAAAGACATCACAAAAAAATAAAACTACTGACCAATTTCTCCCATAAACACAGATTCAAAGCTCCTCTACAGAATATTAGAAAATCAAATCAAATATTATATAAAAAGAATTATACATCATAACCAAGGAGATCCCAGGTATGCAAGCCTGGTTCAACAATCAAAAATCAATTTACAGACTACAAAAAAAACAAAATCATGCGATCATATCAATAGCTGCAAAAAAAAAAAAAATTGACAAAAATCTAACACCCATTCATGATAAAAATTCCCAGTAAACTAGAGAGAGAAACATTCTCAACTTGATAAAAATAAAATAAGTTAAAAAACCTATAGCTAGCATCATACTTAATAGTAAGAAGCTAGAAGCCTTTCCACTAAGATCAGAAATAAGGCAAAGATGTCTCCTCTCACCACTACTTTTCAACATCATACTATAAGTCCTAGCTAATGCAATTAAGACACGAAAAGGAAATAAAGTGTATATAGATTGGGAGGAAATAAAAACTGTCTTTAAGTCCTATCTAATGCAATAAGACAAGAAAAGGAAATAAAATGTATATAGATTGGGAAGAAATAAAAACTGTCTTTGTTTGTAGATGACATGATTATCTATGCAGAAAATCCAAAAGAACTGACAAAAAAATTCCTGGAACTAATAAAAGATGACAGCATACATGTTTATTATATAAAAGTTAACTGCTTTCCTATACACTAGCAATGAACAAGTAGAATTTGAACTTTAAAACAATACTATCTACATTAACACCCCCACATATGAAATAAGTTAGGTATAAATCTAACAAAATATATATAACATCTATGTGCTAGAAAACTACAAAACTCTGAGAAAGAAATAAAAGAAAACCAAATAAATAGAGAGATATTCAATGTTCATGGATAGGAAGACTCAACACTGTCAAAATGTCAGTTCTTCCCAACTTCACCTATACATTCAATTTAATACCAATCAAAATCCCAGCCAAGTTCTGAATTTGGATACTGACAAACTGATTCTAAAGATTACACAGGCTGGGCATGGTGGCTCATGCCTGTAATCCCAGCACTTTGGGAGGCAGAGGCGGGTGGATCGTTTGAAATCAGAAGTTTGAGACCAGTCTGGCCAACATGGTGAAACCTCATCTCTACTAAAAATACAAAAATTAGCTGGGCATGGTGGCGTACACTTGTAATCCCAGCTACCTGGCAGGCTGAGGAGAGAGGATCGCTTGAACCCAGAAGGTGGAGGTTGCAGTGAGCCAAAATCATGTTACTGCACTCCAGCCTGGGTGACAGAGAGAGACTCCGTCTCAAACAATAAAAAGAAAAATTAAAAAAAAAAATAAAGTTTACACAAAGAGGCAAAAGACCCAGAATAACCAACTCAATCTTGAAAAATAAGAATAAAGTGAGAAGACACTGTCCAATTTCATTACTTAATAAAGCTGCAGTAATCAAGACAGTGATGTAATGGTGAAAGAACAAACAGATCAGCAGAATAGAGATTCTAAAAACTGACCCACATAAATATAGTCAAACTAATCTTTGACAAAGGAACAATGGCAACACGATGAAGCAAAGATAGTCTTTTCACAAATGGTGCTGGAACAATTGGATATTTATATGCAAAAAAATGAATCTCAAAAAAGACATTACACCTTTCACAAAAATTAACTGAAAATGGATGACAGACCTAAATGTAAAATGCAAAACTATAAAACTCCTAGAAGATAACAATGGAGAAAAATCTAGAAGGTACAAGATCAGCACACAAAAATCAGATGTTTCTAAACACCAGCAATAAACAATCCAAAATGTAAATTAAGAAAGCAATTCCATTTACAATAGCATCTAAAAGACGAAAGTACTTGGGAATAAATCTAATCAAGGAAGTGAAAGACATACTGAAAGCTACAAAACACTGTTTAAAGAAAGAAGACCTAAAGACCTAAACGGACACACATCCTGTGTCTTCATGAATATGAAGACTTAACACTGCAAAGGTATCAATACTACCCAAAGTGACCTGTAGATTCAACAAAATCCCTCTCAAAATTTCAACAGCCTTTTCTAAAGAAACGGAAAAGCTGATCTTCAAATTCATATGGAATTGCAAAGGGCCTCAGCCAAAAAAATCTTGAAAAAGAAGAATTAAGTTGAAGGATGAAGGACTAACACTTCCCAATGTCCTACAAAGATATAGTGATTAAAGCAGTGTGGTACTGTCAAAAAGACAGACAAATAGACCAATGGGCTAGAGAAGCCAGAAATAAACCCTCACATACATGATAAATTGATTTCTGACAAAAGTGCCAAGACCATTCAATGGAGAAAGAACAGCCTTTTTAATAAATGGTGCTGAGAAAATTTAATATCCACATGCAAAAGAATGATGTTAGTTAGACCCTTACCTAACACTATATATAAAAATAAACTCGAAACAAATCAACAATCGTTTTCTTTTTCCCTTTTTTCTTTTTCTTTCACAAAGTCACAGATTAACAATCTAAATGTAAGAGCTAACTCTATAAAACTCTTAGAATAAAACAGGAAAATCTTCATGACATTGAATTTGACAACAATTTCATAGCTATAACAACAAAAGCACAGGTAGCAATATAAAAATAGATCACACTACATCATAATTTAAAATTTTTGCACGTGAAAGGACAATATCAAGAAAGTAAAAGACAACCTACAGAATGGGAGGAAAATTTGCAATTCATACATTTGGTAAGGACTTAATATCCAGATGACATAAAGAACTCTACAATTCAACAACAACAAAAAAACTCAATTAAAAAGTGGGCAAAGGCCTTAAATGAACAATTCCCCAAGGAAGACATACATGAAAAGAAGCACATAAAAAGATGTTCAATATCACTGTCATCAGGGAAATGCAAATCAAAACCACAATGAGATACTACTTCATACTCATTAGGATAACTATAATTTAAAAAGGGAAAAAAGTAAAGAGTGTTAAATAGGATGTGGAAAAATTGGAATCCTAGTGTTTTGTTGGTGGATGTAAACTGGTGCAGCTGCTGTGAAAAACACTATGGCAGTTCCTCAAAACATTAAACACAGAATTACCATATGACCCAACAATTTCACTCCTACATATATATCCAAACAAACTGAAAGCTAGGACTCGAACAGGTATTTGTATACTGATGTTCACGGCAGCATTACACTCAAAAGCCAAAAGACAGAAACACCCAAGTGTCCACAGAAGGATGAGGGGATAAATAAAATGTGGTATATATAATAGAACATTATTCGGCCATAAGAAAAAATGAAATGTTGATATATGCTACGACATGAACAGACCTTGAAAACATCACGCTTAATAAAATAAGCCAGACACAGAAGGCCAAATATTGTATGATTTCACTTATATGAGGTTACCCAGAGTGGGCAAATTCATAGAGACAGAAAGTAGAATGGTAGCTGCCATGAGTTGGAAGGCAGGAGGGAACTGAGGTTTGTTGTTTAATGGGTAGAGTTTGTTTTACAAGATGAAGAGTCCTGAAGATTGGCTGCACAATGTAAATGTACTTAACATTATTGAACTGTACACTTAAAAATGATTAAGATAGTAGCTGGGTGTGGTGGCTCACTCCTGTAATCCCAGCAATTTGGGAAGTCAAGGTGGGCAGATCACTTGAGGCCAGGAGTTTGAGACCTGCCTGACAAACATGGTGAAACTCCATCTCTACTAAAAATACAAAAATTAACCAGGTGGTGATGTGCGCCTGTAATCCCAGCTACTTGGGAGGCTGAGACAGGAGAATTGCTTGAACCTGGGAGGCAGAAGTTGCAGTGAGCTGAGATCACGCCACTGCACTGGGTGACAGAGTGAGACTGTCTCAAAAAGAAAAAAAAAAAAGATTAAGATAGTAAATTTTATATGTATTTTACAAGTTAAAATTTAAATTAAAAATATATTTAACATGTACAAAATAGAGATGCACAGAATAAAGCAAAAAAGCAAGCATTATTTTAATCAGTACTGGACAAGTGGGTCTAAGTGAGAAAAAATTAACCTACATGCAAAATTCAAATCACAGTTTATAAAACTATAATAACACTATTTAAAAAGGGCATAATGAATAGGTATGAGTCAGAAATGACTACCAAGCTTCAGGCACAGGAGAAACGGGGTACTATTAACAAACAGAAAAAACTGAAACAATGAAAAACAAACATGTTTGAGCAAGGTAAAAGATCCGTTTGCTTTTTCATGTAATGACTGGACACTGGGCTAAAGAACTTTCCAAATGACTAATCTAAATGCAAGTCAATAAATATTTAAATGCAAGAAAATGTATATAATTGTATGATACTTATAAACATATCGAAAAATTATCAGTAGTGAGTACTTTTTCTGTATTTTTCAGAAGTCAACAGTTACTGTTTCTTTGAAAAAAACTGATATCATATAAACACAAAAGACCCCTTATTCCTTTTTTTATAGGAAATCTAAGAAAAATGCATAACTTACACTGTTAAGATCTGGAACAATACCCTTCAAATTTTCTATTTCTTTCTCAGTTCCCCAAGTACCAGAGGAAAATGGTAACATACCATCTGTGTACCTTCTACTATCTCCAGTACCTATAGAATTACCTGAAAAAATAAAGAAAAATGTTAAAGGAGCCACATCAAATCTGAGTAATCTAACATAATAACTGATTCTTGCCAGTCAAATTATTTTATGTAACCCTAATACTTAGCACTCCTATGACAAATTTAGCCATTTTCGTAGAGAGAAAATAAGCAACAGTAAGAGGCAATAATAAACATGATAAACTGCTACCATACCCAAAGAATTCATATTTAATTATCAATGTCTGGATAGAATACAATTATTTGTAATATTCAATCCAAGAAATATATACTACGGTATTTCTAGTAACACTAATTTACTCAGCTATTATTAAAAGCTCTTTTGAAAAGTTTTAGACTGTCTAAAGACCTGAGGGACTAGAAGAGTTAATATATGCTAAATCATACCAGAGAAATATTTTTTTTTTAAAAAAAGTAAAGTCAAAACTAGAACTTAAGAACAAAAGAATCATATTTCTATACTTACTAGTCCCAGGTAGACAAATAACTTGGCTTTCCTCAGACTCTTTGTGAGTTGTTTCAGAAGAGTGTGAGTCGAGGGAAATCAGAGAGCTGTTATTTTCTGATTGAAACTTGCAGTTTAAGCTACCGTTTTCATTTGCCTGTTGAAAGAATATCTTAGCTGTATTAATCTTTTAAATTAAAATGAAATATTTTGAGGGAGAAAATGTGGCTTTACTGAAGGATGCCAGAAAATAAGTGTAGAAGGAATTAGAAAAATCGCCATTGTCACCACGAGAGTAATCAATATTTCCAAGAGTCAGCAAGGACACTGAAACCAGCTAGTGAAGAGTTGCCGGGGAATAAGATGATCAAAGGGCTGATATCTCATCCCACAGATGACTTATTAATAACGAAGGGGAAAAGCTACCTTCACAAGGAGACATCCAGCTGACATCACCTTAGCCAAAATTATCAAAAACAGTATCACCAATTGTGGGAGAGATAAACGTCTCCCGGTGTAGGGCAATGAGAAGTACACAACACTGCTTGGTTTACTATGAATCCATTCATGAGAAACTGTTTAATCTGTATTCTTGCCAAAACGTTTAATCTAATCTAGTCAGGAGAGAAAACAGATTATGGTTATTTTTCCCTCCTGACTAGATTACAGTTCACTCTACAAAACAAAGGGCCTAGATTTTGCAAAATAGATCACGTCATGAAAGAACTACTCCAAATTAAAAGAGAATAAAGAGACAGGACAACCAAAGGCAAGGTTAATCTTTGATTAAATTGTAGATAAAAAATAGTAAGAATAAAGGATATTCTGGGGATTATTGGGTAAATGTGAACATGGACTGTACAGTAATTTAAATTATTATATCAAAGTTAGGTAACAGAATTGTGGTTATGCAGGAAAATGTCCTTATCTACAAAAGATAAATGCTGAAGTATTCGAGTGAAATGTCATACTCTCTGTGACTTACTTTCAAATGATTCAGAGAAGAAAGTATTTATGGAGAGAGAAAGAAAATGCAAAGGTGGCAAACTTTAGCAATTGGTTAACTGGAGGAAGAGGGTGTAGATGTCCATTGTGTTACTCCTTTAATTTTCTGTAGGTGAGGGAAAGGTACCAAGAAGGAAGAAAGGGTAGGCATTTCTTATCAATTCATACCTCGGAAACACAGAGTCCAAAGAAAAGTCCAAAGTCCAAAGGCTTACATTTCATGTGAACATCCAAGGAGACCAATAGTAATTTTCTAATGTCAAATTTCTGAAAAATCATAAAGACTGGAACACACCTGTCTAAGACCATTTGTAGGTAACTTAAAACCTTTTTCTGGAGGTTCTGGTCCTTCTAGGTCTTCATATATCATTCCTGGAATTGCCAGTTGTTCAAAATAAGCCTCCAAATGATCATCATAAAACATTTCATCATCAATATCATCATCTATTGATAAAATCGAGAAAAAACAGGACATGCTTTAAAGTAGTGACTAAGCAATAATTTGTAATTAAAAAGGCCGATAAGACATAAATGAGTCAATGGACTAAGATTTTGGTGTCTTTTTTGTTTGACATGAGAAAACTATTGTAACTTCAGTCAATTATAAACCATTATGAACATTTTAATACAAGATAAATATTTAACCTCTTTGAGAAGACAGGACAGAAACAGACCCTGGCATGTTATCAAAAGTCAGGATACAATAAATGTGGCATCACAAATCAATGAGAAGAAAGCAGACTTTCCAGAAAATGGTGTGGCAAATGGTTACCTCTTTCAAAAAAGTATAGATGAGCCTATCACAGGAGAAGTAAAAGAAAGAAAGGGAGGAAGGAGGGAGGAGGGAGGGAAGGAGAAAGGCCACTGTAGGAGTTTTCAACACTGTAACACCCAGCTCAGCAAGCACAAAATAAAACATGACCCCTCAGTCAGTCATGGTCTTCTAAGTTGGCAATGTCACTTTAGAGGTCAATTTTGCAATCAACATTAAGAGTCTCAACAACACTCATCACCTATGTCTTAGCAATTCTGTCTACAAGAATCCAGCATACTAAAGCAATCAAAGATTGGATACATTCAGGTCAATGATTATTTATCCACTATTCCAAAATCCAAAAAAGTCTGAAAACTCCTTTGATAGCAAAACCTGCTCTCCATGGATGTGATGCTCACTCCGCTCATCAGCCTGGCTTTCAAAGTCATGCATAATGTGGCCCCAGTCTACTTTTCTGGGCTTATTTACCAGTGTGGCCTCCTATAGGTGCTGTAAACTTGCCACACAAAACCCCTGGCTGTTTCCCAAAACACAACCCACGTGCTTACAGCAGGGCCTTTGCTGATGCTGTTCCTGCTTCCTGACATGTCCTCCTCCTCCTCCCATATCTAAGGCCTGGCACAGGCTCCATCCTTTTTCTAGAAAGCTTCAGTACCTGCCTCAATCAGAGTTAATTTCTCACCCCCTATAATTCCCAGGCACATTTGGGGCCTGTTGGGTTTATGAAAACCAATCTGACAATTGGCTCTGCATCTCTTCTCTGCACCTGACTAAGGTGTCCGAGAGCAGAGGCCAAATATTTCATGGTTCTGGCCAGGCGCGATGGCTCACGCCTGTAATCCCAACACTTTGGGAGGCCGAGGTGGGCAGATCACTTTAAGTCAGGAGTTCCAGACCAGCCTGGCCAACATGGTGAAACCCTGTCTCTACTAAAAATCCAAAAATTAGCCAGACATGGTGGTGGGCACCTGTAATCCCAGCTACTCAGGAGGTTGAGGCAGGTGAATCACTTGAACCCAGGAGGTGGAGGTTGTGGTGAGCCGAGATCACACCACTGCACTCCAGCCCAGGTGACAAAGCGAGATTCCATCTCAAAAAAAAAAAAAAAATTTCATGGTTCCCCTAATTTCTAAACACAATGCTATATACTGAAGGGCACCTCCAGGTGACTACTTTGTACCCTAACTATGTTAAACTGAGGATGAGTATAATCATATCAGGATAGATATATAGAAATAAATTCTTCAATTCCATCACTTAATAGAAGTGGCCATTTGAGTGCTGGCAGGTAGGAAGAAAAGGTAAGGACAAAAAACCCAAAAAGTTGGCATCATAACTACTGCAACAAAGAAGAATAAAGTGGAGTGGCAAGGTGAAGACCAGGGAAACACAGGTTACTCTGCAGTACCAGAAGAATCTTCCAAGCTTGTCGGTAAGATAAGTTTCTCATTTTCTAATAAGCTAGTGTGGCTTAGGTCACTCTTTAGAGTCTTGTCTTCAAAATGTTTTCCAGCATCAAGCACAACAATCTATAAGAAACAAAATGGCAAGTAAGAGAAGCACATTCAGGGCTCTGAAGAGCATAGTACAAGGCTACAAAAAGGACCAAATATGTTCTCAACCTCCACTGTGTTCAGTATCTGTAAATCACAGCTTAGGCAATAAAGGGCTAGCAATTGTACATGTATTAATAACTTCCCTTTCCCCCACGCCACCTCCCTCACCTGACCTGCCCAATAGAACATCCTTAAAACTTAAGGCTTCCCTCAAACTGTGCACATGCTCAGAGAGGCTCGTAATATAGTAAGTACACAAATACATAACTGAACTTGAGCAACACAAGGCTTACGAGAAAGTGAAGATAACAGCAAAGCTAGACCAGGCAGCCTGTATCTAAGGAACTGTTTGCACCATTACATTGGAAAAATCAATTTCTCTGCTCCTCAACCAGGGAACATGTAACCCTAAAGGGCACGCAGCCATTTAATGATACTCAAGGCCCAGAATGAAAATGTAACATTTCCCTCTAAGTGTGATTATATTTCATATATATTACATATATATGTAAATAACACCAGCATAGGAATTATATTGGAAAATGCGCACTGATTTTTAAGACAGAAACATGGAATCTTAATCCAATTTTACATTTAGAGAGGACAGTGCTGAGCTATTCTCACAAATATCTAAGCACCAGGGGCATCAAGGACTACTATAATCTACTGTTATTTAAAATAGATGATCACTTAAAATATGGCAAATGTTAACAGCTGTGCAATATAAGCTCTGAGCTTTGAAAGTTTTCATAATATAAAAATTGGGAAAAAATCTGTATGGGAAAGCACAATATGTAAAACATCCCTGTCTTTTTGGTCATGTTGGCTACTGAGAACACTGTGTACTCTGCCATGCTTGGTCCCTGGAAAATGTCTCCATTCTGATAAAGTGGCATAGCTCCACAGATGAGATGAGACCTACACGCAGTAGCAGCTCCCTTCAGTCTGTTTTCTAACACGTTTATTTTCCCCTATTCTCATTTCTTCCTCTTTTTAATCAAGCATCTCATGTTTCTATACTTTTGTTGCTTTCCAGTTTTAAGGTCCCTTATATTATTAATTTCAAAAATTAATTAATTTCAACTTCACTACACCTAACTTCCTCTACAAAGCATCTCTCGCACTTGAAACTTACTAGGGGTCACATACAGGGTGAGTGCATAGGGCAGGGTCAACAAACATTTTGTGTAAGGGCCAGATAATAAATACTTCAGGCTTTATGAGCAGTACAATCTCTGTCACAACTTCTCAATTCTGCTGTTGTAGCACAAATAACAGCCATAAACAAAACATACACAAATGGGCACAACCGTATTCCAATAAAACTTTACAAAAACAGCCAGCAGACTGGATGCAGGCCATAAGCTATGGTTTGCCAATCGCTGGCACAGGGAAATAACTTTTACTTTAGACCCTTTTGCATTCATTCTATAAAAATAAACTTTACAACTCTTACAAAAGGTGTACCTCCTTTTTATAAGTTTTAACAGTGTTTAGTTTATATTTTGTAAGTAAGTCTCATAAATTCATGACTGCATGCCTGAAATCCAGGTTTGGTGGTAATGTTGGGCATAAACTGTTTATCTTCTCAGCATCTCTCCTTTAAAGAGCTCATCCTTTATACTTCAGGTGGTCCAGTGGGGTTGTCACTTGCATTCCTCTATCTGCGCATGTATACACACTCACGCACAAGCACACACACAGAAGTGGACATTAGATCCAGGCTCATCCCAACCCACCCCTTGGCACAGTGATTTGCAGAGGGGAGGACATAAGAGCCAAGGGAGCTCATTAGACCTGTCTTTTTTCTCTTTTCTGATCACAAGTGTTAAGAGTATAGGCTTGTGTTGCCAACAAATGAGACAGCTTCTCTATCATTTAACAAATTATTAAGTGACAACTAAGGGCCGAGAACCATTCCAGACACTCAGGCACTCAGGATACAATGAAACACATACACACACACACAAAGAAATGCTTGCCCTCATGGAGCTAACATTCTAGATGAAGCCTGTACAGAGTGAAGCAGAGCAAACAGATGGACTCAGCTCTGACATCACCAAGCCCAAGAATACAGTCCCAGGCACCAGCACTACCCCTGAACCTTCTCATTACTTGAGAGAAACTCCCATTTTTACTGAAGCTGGATAAGTTAGAGCTCTACTAGAAAAAAGTAGATGACATCTAACTAATATTAACAGTTATATATGCGAAATATGAAATTTTACTGCCCTATAGTACTCCAGAAAATGATACCAAATATATAAAAGGTTACCTTGGGTTCCTTATTATTCATCCATGACTGTAAATGAAAATCAATAGGTGAGTCTGTGTAAGAAAACAAAAACAAACTGAGAGACCAGGTTATTTTATCAACCAAATACCCAACGATACCTAAAAATAGCAAGAAATATTTTTCTCTTGAAATAGAATAAAAGCACTTTTAAATGATGTATATGAATCCATCATAGGTCAGTTACATGTTTTTAAATGTTAGGGCAGGGAATTCATAAAAAAAATTGTACCAAAGAACTTGAATATGTATCTAATCAAGACTTTACAGCTAACTTTTGCTTTGAAGGAGATGTGGAGAGAGAAACAAGAGAAATGACACCTTGAGTAAGCAAAGGGACAAACCCAAATAGTGGGACAAACTACAGTGTGACTGACCTAGAGTATTTCAACAAGGCACTGACACACGAGACGCAACAAAGGTGCTGCAGCATAACAAAACCTCTCTCAGACCCCCATTCACACAAATCAATATGAACAACTGTATCAGATAATAAAAAAAGAATCACTAAGCTCGTTAGCTGTGTTAATAGCACCGTGGTTATGTAAGAAAATGTCCACACTTTTGGAGATGCATACTGAAATATGCACAAATGGCATCTAAAAATTTTAAAATATCAGAAAAAAGTAGTGAAAAGGAGAGATGATGCAAGTATGACAAAATCTTATACCAATGGGTAGGTACATGGGAAGTTTTTTTAATTGATACATACAATTAATATATCATTAATTCACTCTTTTAAGGTATACAGTTCAGTGGCTTTTAGTATGTTCACTAGGTTGTGCAGCCATCACCACTATTTTCATTATTCCAAAATGAAACACTATACCCATTAGCAATCACTCCCCATTCCCGCTACCTTCCAGCCTCTGACAACCAATAATTTACTTTCCGTTATTTGCCATTCTGTATCTATAGATTTCCCTATGGATAAACAGAACCATACATTTTGTGGCCTTCTGTGTCTTTCTTCTCTCACTTGGCATGTTTTCAAGGCTCACCTGTATTAAAGCACGTATCAGTACTTTGCTCCTTTTTGTGGATGAGTAATACTCCACTCATGTGGCCATACTACATTTTCTTTGTCCATTCATCAGTTGATTAACATCTGAATTGCTTCCACTTTTTGGCTGTTGTGAGTAATGCTGCTATGAACATTCATGTACAAGGTTTTCTGTGAGGTCGGACACAGTGGCTCATGCCTGTAATCCCAGCACTCTGGGAGGCCGAGGCAGGTGGATGGATTACTTGAGATCAGGAGTTCGAGACCAGCCTAGCCAATATTTGTATATTTAGTAGCCCGTCTCTACTAAATATACAAAAATTAGCTGGGTGTAGTGGTGCATGCCTGTAATCCCAGCTACTTGCGAGGCTGAGGCAGGAGAATCACTGGATCTCAAGAGGCAGAGGCTGCACTGAGCCAAGATCACACCACGCACTAGGTGTGACAGAGCAAGACTCTGTCTCAAAAAAAAACAAAACAAAACAAAACAAAGTTTCTGTGTGGACATATGGTTTCCTTTCTCTTGGGTATATACCTAGGAGTGCAAATGCGGAGTCACATGGTAACACAATATTTAACATTTTGAGGAACTGTCAAACTGCTTTCCAAAGTGGCTATGCCACTTTACATTTCTACCAATAATGTATGAGGATTTCAATTTCTCCATATCCTCACAAAGACGTTATTTTCCTTTTTTTTTATTATTATAGTTATCCTAGTGAGTGTGAAGCAGCATCTCATTGTGGTTCTGTTTTTATTGTTTCTTTTTTTTTTTTTTGAGACAGAGTCTCTCTCTGTCACCCAGGCTGGAATGCAGTGGCACAATCTCGGCTCACTGCAACCTCCACCTCCCAGGTTCAAGTGATTCTCCCGCCTCAGCCCCCCAAGTAGCTGGGACTACAGGCGCCCGCCACCACGCCCAGCTAATTTTTGTAGTTTTAGTAGAGGCAGGGGTTCACCATGTTGGCCAGGCTGGTCTCGAACTCCTGACCTCAAATGATCCGCTCACCTCGGCCTCCCAAAGTGCTGGGATTACAGGCATGAACCATTGTGCCCAGCCTCATTGTGGTTTTGAATTGCATTTCCTGGATGTCTAATGATACTGGGTATATTTTCATGTGTTTACTGGCCATTTGTACAACTTTTTTTTTTCTTTTTGAGATGGAGTTTCGCTCTTATTACCCAGGCTGGAGTGCAATGGCGCGATCTCGGCTCACCGCAACCTCCACCTACCAGGTTCAAGCGATTCTCCTGCCTCAGCCTCCCACGTAGCTGGGATTAAAGGCATGTGCCACCATGCCCGGCTAATTTTGTATTTTTAGTAGAGACGGGGTTTCTCCATGTTGGTCAGGCTGGTCTTGAACTCCCAGACTCAGGTGATCCGCCCGCCTTGGCCACCCAAAGTGCTGAGATTACCGGTGTGAGCCACCGTGCCCGGCCCCGTCTTTTTCCTTTCTTGATAGTGTCTTTTGAAGCATAAAAGTTTTTAATTCTGAAATCCAATT